>NC_000009.12:101402370-101553885 GCF_000001405.40 Homo sapiens | reverse complement strand
TTTTACATTTCATATCACACCTAAAAGATAAAATTTTGCACAGACTATCAAAAGACTTTTGGATATGCTTAGAAAGTACAGAAAAGTAAGCTGTATAAAAATGAATCATTTCTCCCTTCAAAGTCCTCTAACAAAGTTATAAAACAGACATTTGTGTACTTGTTATATAGGCAAATTTCTGTGGCCCCCAACCCTGGGTAACTGAGATTCAGTAGGTCTGGGGATGGAGTTCAAAAATTTAAACAAGTGATTTAAACAAGTCACTCAGATGATTCTGATACCACACCAGAAAAAAAAAAAATTGCCTTAAAGAGTTCAAGAGGGAGAAATAAAAGGGAAAAATTTGAAAGTCTGAGATATACTGTTAATCCTAGATTTGACAGCTGAGTGATTAACCATCAGCCAAAGACTAAAACTTCACCTCTTATTAAATTACTAAACCTCTTAACTATACTTTTATATACCAAAAGAGTTCAAGCATTTTGAGCACAGTGGTCTCTCAAGTCCAAACATCAACAAAGGATCAACCATAGAAAGTAAGGAGCAAGAAGTAAGCCGTTCTGCCAGAGAAGTTATTGGTTATACAGGAGAAGGGCCAATGCATAAGGTTATGACACAGAAAAATTCAACAAGTTAAAGGTCTATCTTAGTGTGTCAATGTGTATAGGAGTAAATCTCCTAAGAAAGATATGGCATATTCACAAACCAGTTAACTCTCAGGCAAATAGATCAGATATTGTTCAAGTTACAGTGATATATAAATACTCCACTTAATATCATTTAAATTACAATTAACGCCAGCAATCTGCTCAAATCCAGTGAAGAGCAGTAGTTAATTCCCAATAATTCTCAGAAGTATTACCTCAATCATGACATCCTTTTCCTTAATTTGGATTCATAAAAATAAGGCTACCATCATCGGTTTGCTGATACTCGATCACTGAACCAAAGTACTAAATAGCCATGCAAGCCATTTTGGCTGTGCACTTGAACACGACTTGAAACCAAATTAATTGTACAATCTAAAACATTAAAACGATCAGACAAGCCATGCCATCAACCAAACATTTCATGCATGATGTCTTAATCTTAGCTTTTCAGTCGAAACTGTTACTCTAAATGTGGTTCTTACTTGAGTTCAATCTTCAATTGTTTGATAATTTCTGCTTCCTTTTTCCGTCCATCATCATGTTTGCCTTTCTCTTTATCCTTAGCAGAATCTCTCTCTTTTTCTGACTCTTTTAGCTTCTGCTTCTCTCGTTCTCTCTCCTTCTCCTTCTCCCGTTCTCTTTCTCGTTCCCTCTCCTTCTCCCTCCTTTCTCGTTCTCGTTCTTCTTCATCCCGTTTAGACTTGATTTCATTGGCATCCTCCTGAGATGCCTTTGAAGCTGAGGACTGGGAGGATAAGTCCTCAGAATCTGGTTTTAGCTCCGCAGGCTCATCCTTCGGGTCCTCAGTACTAGACTGGGACTGCAGGAGGGCACTACCACTACGCAGGCGTGTCTGGGAGAATAAAGAAAAGAAAGATGCACATCTCTTATGATAACCACATTGCCGACCTCATTCAAAAGCAGCTTTACGACATTAATAGCAAATGATATTTATTCTATTCCCTCTGGTTACCTTGTTCAGGTCAGACTGGGCTTCTCTCAATTTCCGCTTATATCTCAGGACCTCCCCTTTCAGCTGGTGATTGTGATTCTGGAGGCTACTGATGAGGTGGCGCATCTCCCTGTTTATAGGGCCTTAAATACAGGAACAACAATGTTATGAGGAACCGTGGTAAGGGCAAAGGCACAAGGAGAGAAAGAACAGAACACATCAGGAGGCACTGAGAAATAGGGAGAATTACCAAATAAAAGATTCCTTCTCAGAAGATGAAAACAAAACTGGTCAACTTGAGTTAAAAAACAAACATCCAGGCTGTGAACCAAAATGAATTATAGGATTTAAGGTACTTATGACTTCTGAGTTGAAGTCAGCATTAACAAACCCTGGGGTCTGTGTTGTATCTTTCAAGGAAGGTATTAAGAGCAAACTACAGCATGGAGTGAGAATCATTATACCTGCTTGTTCATTGGCAGCAAGGGTCTGCTCAAATTCTATCCTCAGCATTTCATACTCCTTGCGGACCTGGGCCAATGTATCTTCTAGCTGAATTACTTCAGTCCTCAGCTTCTTATGAAGACTAACCTCATCTCGCTACACACAGATAAAGGAACCAATAAAAAAATTCTTATTAAAATGTAGAAATATCATCATATTCTATGGATTACTCTGAAAATTTCCAGTTCAATCTATACGTAATGAAACCAGATATCTACAAAAGACTAATTTGGAAACTGACAGGATACTGAAAAATAAAGAAAATGGCCACCAATTCTGAGAATATTAGAATTTAGTTGGAGAACTAAACTATAAAACAGTATATAAACATATGTAAAATAGTATTCAATTCATTTGTCAGGCATATATTAAAAGACCAACTATTATAACCATTACCTTAAAAACTATGGAAGATACAGAAATGAACATATGAATAAAAGTTTCTATCTTTTAAAAAAATCATCTACTGGTGCCATTATATGCTTTTTGTTTAAGAAATGTAAGTAATTTTGCAGCTTCTACCCACTATTTTCTCACATACACGTAAGCTCTAGCCATATTAAACTATTTCTCATGCTCTCTCATACCTTTATATGTGCTGTTCTCATGCCGGGAATTCTTCTTCTCCTACTTTCAACTACCAATAATTTATCCTTAATATTTATACCTTACTTTTTTAAGTGGAATCAGGAAACTTCCACAGTCAAATCAGACACTCTTTTCTCATGTATCACATCTTTTGGCTATGCTGCCATTGTACCACATTGCATTCTAATGGATACTATTCTCCCATTACTGCAGACTACAAGATCTGTGAGGGCAGGAATTTTGTCATCTCATCTTTATATGCCCAGTACCTACCAGAGTAAAGACCTACTGCCACTCTATGAATGACAGCTGAATGAATGAGAGATTAATTGCACATGAGGGAGTAAAATTGTAAAATTTAGGAGGCAAGAAAGCTTACATACAAAAGACAAGGCAAGGCTATTACCTCAATAAGCTCAACCTGGTGCTGGTGGGTTCCTCTGGTGCCATGAAGCAGGGTCCGAGCCTCATCCAAGTGTGCTTTCAACTGTAGGCTCTCATTATACAAGACGGAGAACTGTGACTGCATGCAGCGATATTCTGGAGTTTCCTTAACGACTTGCTCCACTGCACTCCGCAATTCCACCTTAGGAGGGCCCAAAGCAAAGTCAGAAGCAGAATCTAGCATTGCCCCAGACGCTAGACAGGAAGTAAAATTTTGAACTCACTGATGTCCTACACAAGAGAGACAATTTTATAAAGATTATTAAGTTATCTACCCATTGCTGTAGTTATGTAAAATCTACCCCAAAATTAAATTAGACTAACTAGGAGATGGTACCTGGATATACTGTATTCTTTCCTCCTAGAATTGTTTTGATATGTGTTTTATATTCTGTGTCAAATGAGCCACCAGAAGAGTGAAATTTGTCAGGATGCTTATTTTAAAAACATAGTTGAGGACCCCAGTCACTAACTTGTTCTCTTTAATAACAGTGACAGAGAAAAAAATTGACAGGGTATCAAAAATAGTTATGCCTCTCCTAAGCAACTATCTGATTTAATTACTCAAACACTTTTAACTGATTTAACTTAGGTTGTTTTTGTTTTTTATTTTTCAGTTCAAACATCTTTATTCATATCATTTAACCTACAAACAACTTGTAAAATAGAGATGACTATGATCGAAAGAGGAGTGAGAAAGACTTCCAGAATCTCTTTTCTTCTCCTAAGATGTGGGCGGCAAGCCACCCAGGTGCCGAGGCAAGAGACCGAGGACACGAGCTGTTCCAGTATAATAAAATATAAAACAAGAATAGTTATGCCAGATATAGATCTTAGATATGATTATATATGAATATCATTAATCATCAGTTTGTAGCAATTACTCTTTATTCCAATATTATAATAATCCTCGCTCTATAATCATAACCTAGGAAAAACCAGGCCATACAGAGATAGGAGCTGAGGGGACACAGTGAGAAGTGACCAGAAGACAAGAGTGCGAGCCTTCTGTTATGCCCAGACAGGGCCACCAGAGGGCTCCTTGGTCTAGCGGTAATGCCAGCTTCTGGGAAGACGCCCGTTACCAGGTGGACCGTGGTCTAGCGGTAGCGTAAGTGTCAAGGGAAAACACCTGCTACTTAGCAGACCAGGAAAGGGAGTCTCCCTTTCCCGGGAGGAGTTTAGAGAAGACTCTACTCCTCCACCTCTTGTGGAGGGCCTGACATTAGTCAGGCTCGTCCGCCGTTATCCGGAGGCCTAACCTGTTCAGTGGTCACGCTCCTAGGCCGCCTTCATGTTCCATCCTGTACACCTGACTCTGCCTTCTAGATAGCAGTAGCAAATTAGTGAAAGTATTAAAAGTCTCTAATTATCAGAAATAATGGCATAAGCTGTTTCTCTCTCTGTCTCCTCTCTCTCTATGCCTCGGCTGCCAGGCAGGGAAGGGCCCCCTGTCCAGTGGACATGTGACCCACGTGACCTTACCTACGATTGGAGATGGCTTGCTCTCCTTATCCTGCCCCTTTGTCTTGTATCCAATAAATATCAGTGCAGCCTGGCATTTGGGGCCACTACCGGTCTCCGCAACTTGGTGGTAGTGGTCCCCCAGGCCCAGCTGCCTTTTCTTTTATCTCTTTGTCTTGTGTCTTTATTTCTACACTCTCTCGTCTCCGCACACAGGGAGAGACCCACCGACCCTGTGGGGCTGGCCCCTACACTAACAACCTAAGAAGAAAATTCTTCTGGGCAGGTTTGAAGACCAACAGGATCACCAATCGTGTTTCTTTCTCTGTTTTGGTAGCAAAAAACTGCAGAGCCAAACCTGTGGAATCACTTCGGTAAGCACTGACATGTGAATGGCCTCCCTTCCACAGTATATATATGCCCCCTGCAAACATCTTGTATACAAGCCCCACTTTAATGCATTTTGGATCCTCACCCTAGTTTACCCTACTTCTCATTTTTCTCAACAACTCCTACATTACAGCACCTTGATTTAGTCTACATATCTTTGTATGTTGCTTTAAATCCTTTTCAGGGCAAGGCAGAGTACATATAATAAGTAAATATGTAAGTAAAGAAGTAGATATATCAACAAAACTTAACATTTTTTCTTTGTTCCCCCCAGCTTTATTAAGGTATAATCAACAAATAAAAATTATACATATTTAAGGTATACAATGTGGCATTTTGCTATACATATACACTGTGAAATCATTACCACAATCCACCTAATTAACAAATCCTTCACCTCACAGTTATCTTTTCGTGTGTGGCAAGAACATTTAAGATCTACTCTTAGCATATTTCAAGTACACAATACAGCATTAATTATAGTCACCATGCTACACATCACCAGAACTTATTCATCCTGCATAACTAAAACTTTGTACCTTTTCCCCAACATCTTCCGATTTCCCCAACCCTGGTAACCACCATTCTACACTCTGCTTCCAAGATTTTGACTTTTTTAGATCCCACATACAAGTGAGATCATGCAGTATTTGCCTTTCCGTGCTTGGTTTATTTCAGTTAGCATAATGTCCTCTAAATATATCCATGCTGTTGCACATATACACACACACACTCACATACAAACACACACCACATTTCTTTATCCATTCAGTGTACAGTTCTTTCATCTCCCTGGTTAAGGTTATTCACAATTTTTTTTAATGGTATTGTAAATGGGATTGTTTTCTTAATTTCTTTTTTATAGAGTTTGTTGTTGGTATATAGACACACAATTGTTTTTGTATGTTGATTCTGTAGCCTGCAACTTTACTGAATTCATTTATAGTTCTAACAGTTTTTTCGTGGAGCCTGTAAGGTTTTCTATATATAAAGTCATGTCATCTATAAACAGAAACAACTTTACCTCTTCCTTTCTGATTAAGAGGCCTTTATTTCTTATCCTTGCCTAATTACTCTGGCTAGGACAAAAGTAATGACAGCGAGCATCTTTATCCTGTTCCTGATCTTAAAGGAAAAGCTTTCAACTTTTCGCCATTGGGTATAATGTTGGCTGTGGGCTTGTTTTATATGGCCTTTATTATGTTGAGGTACACTTCTTTACACCTAATTTGTTAAGAGTTTTATCATAAAAGGATGTTGGATTTTGTCTACATTTTTCTTATCCCTCATGAATACGCAGATTCACAACTATGTATATACGTGAGTTGATCAGCAGAACGTCTGATTTTACTGCCCTTCAGGGATGCGTTCCTACCTTCAGCTTTTCATTTTGTGTAGTGACCTCCTCAAAGTCTTGCCGAAGTTTCTCCAGCTCACAGAGACGGTTCTGAGCCAACTCTTTGTTCTCCTCAAGCTCTGCATTCATTTCCTCAAACTGCAGAGAAGCAGAAAAATAGAGAATAAATAAGTATTCTTCTTAAATCATTTCTAAGCTTCCTTTCTTCACTGATTCGCTATTCCAGCAAAACCCCATGATGTCACTTGTGAACACAGTCCTAAGTACCTAAGCATGAAAGCTGACATACAGTCCAAAACATGTCCTGAGTCACTGATTTTACCTTCCGAGCATTGATAGTGATTGTGCCGCCATACAGACTGCTCCCCGCTCCATACACCTTATAACCTTTGGAATTCACCTACAGAGAACACAAAGATTCTTTAGTGAGAGACTCTTAAGATTTCAGTCTATAACCAATGTACCTTCAAAGGATGAGATTTTTTCCTCAAATACCATGCCCCAAGGTGAGTCTTCCTGAGAACACTCCTTAAAATGATTCTAGTCTCCAAGCCATAAAACAGCACTGACCCGTTCTAGGACTTCTGCTAAGTGTCGGTTGAGTCGCTGTTCCCTCTTTCGAATTTTGTCAATATCCCACTGCAGGTCATCAATCATGGACTCCAGGACAGACACTCGTGATTCGGCTGTCTCCACTTTACTCTGCAACTTGGAGAACTACATCCCAAAGACAAACATTCAGAAACATATAGCAAAAAAAGACCAAATTCCATAATATTAACCCTTGCTTATGAGTAATTATAGAAAAGAGGCAAATAGAAGATGCTTCACCCTCTTCCCAATGCATGATTACAAAAATGAAATCACGGATTCCTCCAACAATTCTGTGTCAGTTATAATCATGCAAACTTTAAGTCTAAAGTCTATAAGAACTCTCACACAAAGAAAAGACCACCTAAGATTCAACAATTTTTCTACCTCTGAAAAGCACCATTTCTCTGGACAGACCACAAACTCATAAAAATTTTGTAATTTTTTAAGAGATAATAAATAGTATCTTTTGTTTTGTAAGATAAATATTTTTTCAAAAAAACCATTTTTACCCCCAAATTTCTCTCCACAGTCCCACAAAAGGTAATCCATTCATTCACAACAAAAGAAAACTTCCATACTCTTTTTTAAGCTCACCCCAGAGCAATCTAGAGTCAGATACAATACAGTATAGATTATACTATAATCTAAAGTCAGATACTCTATTTAGGAGCTATACACCAGCTAACACTATTTAGTATTTTAACTACTAAACTATTACAAGTTCACATTAATCTATATATACCCTTTGTGCTAGGTTTTAAAACATGACACAAAAATCCTTTGAAAGTCCTCTGAACAAGAGGTGGGATCTTTGTTCCCTCCTCTTGAATCTGGGTCAACTTTAGAGACCCAATGGAAATGTCACTACACAATTTTGAGGCTATATCAGAAAGGCCATGAAGGTTCTACCTGGTGATCTTGGGATGCTCACTGGAAGAAGTCAGCCAACATGTAAAAATTCCAACCATCCTGAGACTACCATGATGGAGAGGCAAACTGCAGGTATCCCAGTAGACAATTAACCCAGCTGACAGGCAGCATCAACAGCCAGCCATGAGAGCCAACAAGGACATCACAGTTTAGCAAACAACTGCCCTCCAGGTTAGTAATACTATCTGAGATTTGTCAAAGGGCTAGAAAAGGAAGACCTCTCCATCTTGGTAGCACCTAGTCAATGTCTTAAAACATGATAAAAATATTCTATTTTCTTACTAGACTCCAGTTTATTTATAAGGGCTACTACATTCTAACCCCTTTGAAGGTCCAGGATAATCCATATGAATTAATAAATTCCCCAGATGATATTCATGCAACCAGGCCAGCATGGACCTTAACACTGGGGTTTAGTAAACAAAGGCATATGAAGAACAAGAGCTTTGAAGTCAAACAGACCTACAGTCACAACACAGCTCAATCACTTTCTAGCTATGTGCCCTCAGAATAATCACTAACCTCTTTGAATTTGTTTCTTTGGCAATAAAATGGGAGTTGTTTTGCCATTAGAGATAACATTCATAAAGTGCTTAAATTCTAGGCACTAAGTAAATGGCAACTACTAAATTACTAATTAGCATAAGAATTCAGTGGCCAAACTAAGGTGGGGCAAATTCCAGTAGAATATATTTTGAACTAAATCAAAATGATCATCAGAAGTATCAGAAAAGTCATTTAAGGCCTATCATCACTTTATCTTGATCATTTTGTGTAAATAAATAAATGTCCAAATCTTGGCATGGTTTAATCATGGCATTATTTGCACCCAAGTTTAGACTGAAAATTGACATTCCTCAAATTCCTAGGACATCATCAATACAGTAGTTTCTACTTCCCCATTCCCTGTGGAATTTCTACCACGCCATTCCTCAATAACACTATACAGTCTTTTATATTTAGGGTAATTCATTATTTGGAGGTTTGGAGTTGTGTTGTGTTTTACAAAATCCCCTATGATATGATAGGCCTTCTAGAGTAAGGTAATCTTTGAGGTGCTCAGAATTGTAAGTCAACATCTGCCACAGCCCACTAGACACAGCCATCTCTCCTTTTTGGTTAAGTACCTCCTGAGACATGGTGCGATGCTTTTCCTGAAGAAGATCTGTCAATTCCTGTAGCCTCATATTCTCCTGTGCGAGGAAAGAGTTCAGCTCCTGCACTGCTTCCTCCACTATCAGATTATCTGGGGAAGAAGAACTATACTTTAATTTAGCATCTAGAGTGTCATTTTTTTTTTTTTTTTAAGACGGAGTCTTGCTCTATCGCCCAGGCTGGAGTACAGTGGCGCGATCTCGGCTCACTGCAACCTCTGCCTCCAGGGTTCGAGCCGATTCTCCTGCCTCAGCCTCCAGAGTAGCTGGGATTACAGGCACATGCCACCACACCCGGATGATTTTTGTATTTTTAGTAGAGATGGGGTTTCACCATGTCGGACAGGCTGGTCTCAAACTCCTGACCTCAGGTGATCCACCCACCTCAGCCTCCCAAAGTGCTGGGATTACAGGTGTGAGCCACCGTGCCTGGCCTATAGTGTCAAATTTTAAAACTGTGTATCCTTGGCCAGGTATAGCAGCTCACGCTGTAATCCTAGCACCTTGGGAAGCCAAGGCAGGCCGATCACTTGAGGCCAGGAGTTCAAGACCAGCCTGAATAACAAAGCAAGAATCATATGCTCTTATCACATATTCTCATATCATATATTCTGAAATACTATGTTAGGGGCACTTCTGAAGCTTAAAAACCAAAATGTACACTACTATTTACAAAGCAGGTAGGTAAATCCATAGAACTTATTACACCAAGTTCGTATGTTTAAAATTAGAGTTGCAAATACTATAGCTGAAATCCAAATGTAATTAAATGAAACCAGATACTCTCAGGATATATACCACCCATCAAAGAGAGTTATCAGGAAGAAAAATATGCTTTCTCATATCACCTCTTGGCATTACTCTTAGTATCAATACAGAACAGGTTGGTCATATGGTGGTTTTCATGGTTTTCAAGCTAGGCTTGCCCATCAGAATCACTTGTGGAACTTTTAAAATAGACATTTCCCTAGGACCTATCTCATACCTACTTAATAAGAACCTCCATGGGCAAAGCCAAAAATAAGAATATGCTCAGAAAACTCCCAAGGTTATTCTGATTCATAACCTGAGTTAAGAAGTAGAGACTGAATTTTAGTCCTCTCAATATCCTAAGCACTGAGGACAGGGCTAGAATACAATAAAATTCAATAAATGTTTAGTGAATTTATAAACAAGCCCATAAATGCAATTCTTTTGAATCAAAGACCAAACAAACAGACAGTACTGCCCTGGCAGGTTAGACAGTGCCGCCCTGGCAGGGTTAGACAGTGCCGCTCTGGCAGGTTAGACAGTGCCGCCCTGGCAGGTTAGACAGTTCCGCTCTGGCAGGGTTGGACAGTACTGCAGTGGCAGGGTTAGACAGTGCCACCCTGGCAGGGTTAGACAGTGCTGCCTTGGCAGGTTAGACAGTGCCGCCCTGGCAGAGTTAGACAGTGCCGCTCTGGCAGGTTAGACAGTGCCGCTCTGGCAGGTTAGACAGTGCCGCCCTGGCAGGGTTAGACAGTGCCGCCCTGGAAGGGTTAGACAGTGCCGCCCTGGAAGGGTTAGACAGTGCCGCCCTGGCACGGTTAGACAGTACTGCCGTGGCAGGTTAGACAGTGCCGCTCTGGCAGGGTTAGATGAATTTATAGACCTTACTCTATAAGGCCTATACTTGCTCTAGAAGGCCTTACCTTACTCTAGAAGGCCTATCATATCATAGGGGATTTTGTAAAACACAACACAACTCCAAACCTCCAAATAATGAATTACCCTAAATATAAAAGACTGTATAGTGTTATTGAGGAATGGCGTGGTAGAAATTCCACAGGGAATGGGGAAGTAGAAACTACTGTATTGATGATGTCCTAGGAATTTGAGGAATGTCAATTTTCAGTCTAAGTCAGGGGGATGAACTTTCAAACAAGTTACAACTGATGCTATAATTCATACTTTATACATCTTTATCTCTTAGAAAGTTCAGCTTACCAATGGCAATTGCCTTTTGTGTTACAAATAATGGCATGGCTATTTGTAATGTTTCTACTTTTTAACTTAAACCCGACCTTAAAATGCATGCCATTAAATAGTAATTTTAAAGTCGTTTGATATACTACTCATTTTATTCCCTTTTTAAATAAAACAATTGTTTCACTTGATATTCATTTATGAAATCAAGTTTAACATAGTCTATGCACATGGCATATTAATTACCATATTACTAAAATTTAACAATACCTTCTAACTATTCAATTAGAGCCCAAGGAGAAAGAAGCATATGTGCACACACAAAGCACCATTATTTTATATTAGGTGACAGGGAGGTTCACATCCATTCATTCCCCATTGACTAAACATCTGCTAGATGCCAGATGCAGTGCTAGAAACTAGAGAAACAAAGAAGAGTGAGCCAAACTACTGAACCAAGACACAGTTTAGCTGGGGACATGCAAGTAGATGTAAGATATTAATACAAAAGTACAAAAGTCTGAGAGGACATAAAACACATTGTTTAGAATGGTTATCTTTTGAGAAATGAGAATGGGGAAACTTTTGTAGTCTACTTATTTGTATTTCTGACTTGTATATTTTTAAACAAGTATCTGTTTTCCTTATAATAAAATACAGAAATGCATAATCTAATGGAAAAGCAAAAGAAACCCGTGACCAAATTTTCACAGGCCTTCTACAAGCTGCTTAATTCTGTTGACAACTTAGCCCAATTACCCTTAAAAGCAAAATTACAGAATAATACAATTCTTATATGCTCATCCAATGGTTCAACCTCCATTACATTCAACTTATTTCCTTCAGAAATGAAAGGTTAAACATCTTAATGATAAGCAGGGAAATTAAGATATTACAACTAGACCATGATTATTATTGAAAACATGAAATCAAGGCATTTTTTTTGCATTTGAGCAAGGTATTTATGCCACAAATGACTAAAGATGTAACCTAGCTACACAAATACTTTACTGTACAAATTTAAATTTTTGCATTAACTCTGAGTAACACAATTATCCCAAATAATTATTTTATTTCAAATACTCTTTCATCCATAGAATATTTTCTAATAATCCTTTTAACCATACAGATCATCTGTCAACTCTAAAACCTGCACCAACTCTTTTTAAAAACATTAGCGATAATGAAAAATAAGTTAAGTAAAAATTAACTTTTTCAAGTCAAAATTCTGTAACTAATAATTAAATAATATAGTTGTTATTTAAAATAAAGTATTATCACTATAAATCAATAGCCTACATACACGATAAACAGATCCAGATATTAGAGCTGTTTATTAAATAATAAAGTTAATTCTGCTATTTACAAAACTGTCATTAATAGAGTATATCAGTATAGAGCTGATAAACTCTTTCCTCAGCTTATTAAAGGACTGTCATGTGGCTCAAAATGAGAAGCACTGATAAAAGATTAATATGCCATAATGAAGACATTACCAGTAACACTGAAGGTTAGAATTTCTAAAAATTTAATTAAAATATATAGTCCAGGCACAGTGGCTCATGCCTGTAATCCTAACACTTTGGGAGGCCAGAAGAGAGGATCTCTTGAGGCCAAGTTTGAGACCAGCCTGGGCAACATAGCAAGACTTCCTCTCTACAAAAAGGTTAAAATATTAGCCAGGTGTGGTAGTACGTGCCTATAGTCCTAGCTATTCGGAAGCTGAGGCAGAAAGATTGCTTGAGTTCGAGGATTCAATGGGCTATGATGGTGCCACTGTGTTCCAGCCTGGGTGACACAGTGAAACCTTATCTCTTAAAAAGTAAATAATAAATAAATAAAAATAAATATGTAAGCTTGCAAACTACAAATTAGCATGCAAAAATGAATTCTTATTCCTCCTCCACTACTCCCGGCCTCCAGGGTCTTGCCTCACCTCCACTGTTTAGCTTCCGGGATAAGAGCTCCACTTTTTCTTGCAATTTATCATAAACAGTCACAATCTGGGACACGGCTCGGCGGGAAGACTCCACACGTTCCTGCAGCTGAGACTCCATCTCTTCACTGGAACTGCTGGCCAAAGTAGCAAGGAAAGAGAAAGCTGGCTCTTGCCCTTCCCCTGAGGACACAGGGGGAAAAAAAGAAGCCCCCCAAAATTATAAACTGGAAATAACAAAATCCATTTTTTTTCCCTCAAATGGAAAGCCTCAAAGCAGAGCTCTACTTTAAAAACCCAGATAGCATGCAGTGATAGAATCCATCACGAACACTTGCCTCTCTCTCGGTCATCTTTACGCTCCTGATTGCTATCAGAGTCTGGTTCTGGTTCAGGCACAACAAGGGCTTTTCGTTCTGTGAGTAGGTCTCCCAAGCCCTGCTCCAGATCATAACGTTTAAGGATGATACGGATGTTTTCATCAAACTGGAGAAGGGTAGGTACAATTATGAAGAAACAAAGGACACAACTTTGGAAATGAAGAGAACAGTAAGGAGAACTAAATTGGTCAAATAAAAATCTGAACAAATAAACAAGTTAGCTACCTGACTCCAGTATCGGTTGACAATCAATAGTGAGGCATCATCAGTGGCCTGTCGTCGTTCCAGTTTTTCAATGTGCTCACGAAGTTCATCTTCAATGGCCTGCCGCTGATCCAACATTTCTGCCAGCTTGCGATTTTTGGTTTGCAGTGTTCTAATGTCTAGTTCCTCCTGCCCAGTAAACCAATCGTATTAGTCTCCACAAAGAAATAAGAAAAATGAGCCGTTAAACTCAACAAGGTCACAATTATTCATTAGTTATTTTCTATGAATAAAGCTATTGACTTTTAAAAAATCTTACAAGTAATTAAGAAGTAGAAGCAGAAGAGATAAACAACAGGTATATGATGGTGTGAGGAAAGAATAATACACACAAATACACCAGAACCTCAACCCATCTCGCTGTTCTAGTCACATAAACATCTACAAAGTAATGCTGCTTTAAGGCCACCATCCAGCTAGATCACCCTCGACTCCAATCAACACTGTCTTCTATCTCGTAAGCACCATCCTTCCTTCATTAAAGACTTCAGCACCTGGGTCCCTGTCTATCCCAGTTCCTGCCAATATATCTGGTGACTTCACCATACATGTGGACAAACCATCTAATCCTCTAGCATCTAGGCTGTCAGTTTTTCCAGTTCCTTCACTCCAAACATTATCTCCTCCACTGTGCTTCAGCCATGCACTTCAAAAGACACATCTCAGACTTTTGTCATTATCTGGAACTGTACCACATCTGAAATCTTATATTCCAACTTCCCATTCCCTGAAAAACACCACGTCTTTCCAGGTATCTCATGCCCTTAACCCAATATACCAATCCCTTTACCTCATCAAGATCTCCAGAATGTTGAATTCTTTTCTTTCTCCTTTTCGGTCTCCTTCTATCTCTGCTACCTTCCATATCTTAATCATATGCTATATAGTACATTCCTTCAAACACCTGCCTAACAGCCTCCTTGGTTCTCTGCCCTTAATCCTTTTATTCTATCTCTGTCAACAAACCCCAATCTGAATTAATCCAGTTATCTGGCTATTCCATTCCTGTACCCAGTATGCTGAGACTTCTAGAGAAGTTCATCAAACCACCGAAACCGGTGCCTTTACAAAATGAATTCTTAGCCTAAACAGATTTTATAATTTGTCTAGAAATATTTCTTTATCAAGTGAGCTATTTCCCATTCTCCAGCAAGGCAACATCAACCTCTACCAAACCCTGCCCCCTTTTACATCATACAAAACAGATGGCTTTACTTCCTATTTTAATGAGAAAATAGAAGCCATCAGATGGAAAACAATTCCCCATCTCTTTGACCCATTAACACAATTATGCACACATTCTTAAAACCTCAGCTTGTGCTCAGGATCCTGTTCTCTTCTGTCTCTACAAAACCCTCACTCCATTAGTAATTTCACATCCCTCTCAATATTTTTCTCTCTCCAGCTCCTTCCCTAGGACAAACCAGGGAGGGGTTGGTGGGAGGTGGGATTGGAGGATATAACAAGCAAAGAACCAGCATGTGGAAAAATAGTCTTACTTTTCTGAGGAATTAATGAAATCATTATTTTAAAGTGACAATTGTTTATTACACCACCAATTTTTGTTTCATTTTTCTCTTTTCCACTTTAATTAAAACATTCCTAATATGCCAAAGTAGTCAACAGTTTTCCCACTGTACCAGTTTATTAACACTATTAATAAACTATATCCTCAAACTCTTCTCTGAACATTGCCTTTCCCTTCTTGCTCTAACTGAAACTTGGATGAGAAACTGTTTCCCTGCAGGCTTCTCTAGTGGTGGCTGTTTCTCTTCCACACCCCTTGAAGCCAGAGAGGGATGAATATCCTCCTTATTTTCCATTGCCACTTCCAGGCCATTACCCCACCTTCCTCCCTAAAACCTCCTACCTCTGCAGCTCATGCCATTAGCCTATACCACCTGCCGCCATGCTCTGTTGAATTCATCTGTAAATGCCCACGTCGTTTCCTCACATTTCACAAAGACTTAGCACCTACCTTATTATCACTCTCCAATACTTTTCCTGTCATCATTCTTAATGATTTCAATACCCATACAGATAACCTTTCCTATACTTGAATCATCAAGTCACTGACCTCCTCTTCACCAATGATCTTGTCTTCTACCTCCTTCAGCCACCAACTCCCACATTTAGTCTTACTTGTACCTACATGTCCTCTATAAGCTCAATTTCAAACACCTCATTCTTCACAACTACCACTATTTTTCCAGCTCACTCTCTCCAGTTTCCTTACTCCAAAAATTCTTTAACCTCTCCAGGATCTACAATCCATTGGTCCTATACCTTTCACTTCTCTCACCTCCTTCTTTACTGAACTTAAATTCCATGATCAGTCATTATATAGTCATCTACTTTACAGCGATACTCCTTTATAAAGCATTGTCTCTACTCTCTTTTTCCTAATTCCTCTCCCCTCATATTCTCTTAAGCTCACTGAAAACAGGGTGCCATCCCCACTATTTCACCAACAAAGGTGTTTTGGTATCTCCAGTGAACTATTATTAAATATAACACCTCAGTCCTCCCTTTATTCCCCTTGTTCCAACTGAAACCTGAATGAGAACACATCAGCAGCACCTAATCAGCTCCTTCTTGAAATACTTTCTTCATTGAGCTTCTGGGAACCCATTCTCTCTTCCTATCCTCTTACCTCATTGGTCCCTCTTTGTTTGTATCTTTGATTAGTCCTTTCTCATTCCTTGACATGAAAATATTGTAGTGCCCCAGCAGACCTCTTTATGCTTATTCATTAAAGGAGTCTGTAGTCTCATAGATGTAAACACAACTTACAAAATGACGATTCCCAAATATACAGCTTTAGCCCAGACCTCTCTCTAGTATCCAGCTTATTAACTACCTATCCATTCAGAGGTCAAATAAGTATCTCAAACTTATATGTCCCAAACCAAACCAAACTCAATTCATCCTCCATGACTCCCAAAAATCTGCTCCTCTCATACACTTCTCTAGCTCAGTAAGTAAAAATTCCATTACTTTCAAAATCCTGGGATGATCCTCCCTCCTATCTTTCATGTGAGTTATCCAATCCATCAGCAGATCTTATCAATGCTACCTCCACAGTGGTCCAAGCCACCATGATTTCTCATTAAGATTACTGCAAAGGCCTCCTATAGCAAAAACTCTGTGCTAAGTCCTGTCAGCCTGCCAGATTTCAGCACAGCTGTGGTGGACAGCTCCATTTACACTGCCATTGTTCCCACTTCAAGCACACTTTGGAGACTCAGTTTTTCTGTCCCGCAATCACAGCTGGCTCCTAACAGCAATCTCAAAATGCACAGGAGGGACTGCTTTCAATGGCAACCTTCAACCAATTGGAGCGGGGATCAGTGGATACATGCCTCAGATCCCCACCTTTGGAGAGATGCAGTTATAGCGAAAGAGAGTAAGAAGAAGAAAAGAAAAAAGTCTGCTAGCTGGACTCTTGTTTATAATCCTTGCTTTTCTATAGTCTCCAAACACAAGTCAGAGCATGTTAGTCTCCTACTTAAGACTATCCACTAACTCCTCATTGCCTCTGGATAAAGTCCACACTGGGGTGTGTGCTATGTGCTTCCCATAAGTATGTGCTTATCCCTGTCAACAGCACATACCCCACTCTAAACAGTCTATTCCCTTGTCAGTGCTACCCTACAAACTAAAGTCTAGGGGCTGTCTTCAGTGTAAAGGATAGTGTCTGGCAAATAACAAATACTCAACAAATATTTATATATTGAGTGAATAAATGCCTTTGGAATGCATGATGCAAGGCAGTGCTAAAACAAAAATCACTTCCTGCCAGCAATATTAAGTACCAGAACCTCAGGCAGCCTCAGAAATGACACTTCATCAACAACTCACTATGAATGTTCCTATTATTCTGACTCAAAAAAAAAAATCAGCCTCTCTAAAATAAACCTCAGCCTCAAAATCAAATAAGCAATAGATGTGGTTTTGCAAGCCATACAAATGTAAAGCATTTTACAAAATGTAAAACATTTTAATATCACATCCCCATGTCTGATTTTCAAAAAAGCAAAATCTTGACGTAGATCAAAACCTGTAAACTTCTGATGTCTAACAGATATATAACATTACTATGAGATTTTGGTATATAATACTCATTTTGTCAGCTCCATAAGAGCAAGGATAATATCTATGTTATGCACCATTATATTATCTAGCCCAATATTAGCTATGAATGCCTCCCATTTATTGACTATTTACTATATTAAATGCAAAGTGTTAGCCCTTAACAGGGACTCTTATTTTATATGCATAAAAATCTAATGTAGCAGGTACTCTAATTACATTTTACAGACAAGAAAACAGGCAAAGGAAGGATAACACAAGGTCAGCCAGCTAGGAAGTGGTACAGCTCAGAGTCAACTCCAGGCAATCTGGTCTCAGACTCTCACTCTTCACCATACTCTCAATGATTGCTAAACTGTCTCTTAGAATCTGGTACTGACTTTTTCAGTGAATGAAAAATAAATGTGTATCTTCCCACTGCTAAATACCTATAGTTAATGTTGTATCAGGCACCACCTTCCCAGATTCTCGAAAGAATATAAGTACACCTTGAAAACAAAGAACAACTATCAATCTACCTCTCCTCTAGAACTGACTACCACATCATTTTACCTACTTTCAGCCTGTTTTATTTCCCTCTTCTTTTCAAATAGCTTCCCCATACTCCAGAAAGCTTCCATGAATTTTTAGTTTCAAGTTGCAACTGACAGAAGACAAGCACACTTTCATGGCACTGTTTCCTCATACCGTTGAAGAGACACCTCCTAGCTTAATTGTTTCCACTGTGGTCCCTGAATCTTCAACAGCTGCCTTCTTCTCAGGAGGCATGGAGGTGCCAGGTTCTCCAGCTGCTCTTTTATTTCCAATTCCTGACATTTTGGCAGAAGAAGACAGTCGTTTTCCTGATAGAAAAAAAGGCAGAAACTGACATAATATATGTAAGCAAAGCAACAATAGAGTAAAACAATAGAGTAAAAACTAGCAACTTTTCTGGCCAACCCTTTAACCTGGATCCATTAATTCCACAACCATCTCCATATTTCTCTTTGAGGAAAAAAAAAAAAAATTAAATTGTAGAGTAAAAGTCAAGGCGGGCCGGGCGCGGTGGCTCATGTCTGTAATCCCAGCACTTTGGGAGGCCGAGGCGGGCGGATCAAGAGGTCAGAAGATCGAGACCATCCTGCCTAACACGGTGAAACCCCGTCTCTACTAAAAATACAAAAAATTAGCCAGGCGTGGTGGCGGGCGCCGGTAGTCCCAGCTACTCGGGAGGCTAAGGCAGGAGAATCACTTGAACCCGGGAGGCGGAGCTTGCAGTGAGCCGAGATCGCACCACAGCACTCCAGCCTGGGCAACAGAGCGGGACTCCGTCTCAAAAAAAAAAAAAAAAGAAAGTCAAGGCTAAATTTACATGACTATAAATTTCTAAATAGGATGGTGATAAGAATGGTGATAAGAAATGAGACAATGGGCAAAGGGTGAAGAGACCAAAAATAAAGTTCTGGAATCTCTCTTCCTGTAATGCCAAAATCAGAAAAGGGCAGTTTGATTATGCCAGAAGTTAATACTACAGTGTTGAAAGAATCACAGAGCTGAAAGAGATCTGTGAAATGCCTACTAAAGTCATTAGTACTAGACAAGTCAGTTATCATCTCTAAGCCTCAGTTTCCTAACCCAGGAATAAATAACCACAGTATATACTTCCTATGCTTATTATAAAATAAAATGGATGATATAATTATAGAAAGAATTTGGCACAAAGCCGAACACAAAGTAAGCACTCAGAAACCCCAGCTCTTCTTTAACGTTTGCAGTGTTTTCCCTATTTCCAAACGCTCTCTCCACTGTTTTATGCAACCCTACGTTAGTTAGACCTGGGTGCGAATTTCAGTTCTGCCTGTTAGAGGCCGTGTTGCTTTGAAACAGTGAATTCGCCAAGAGCTTCAGTTTCCTCAACTGCACAATATTAACGAATATATTTTTCGTCTGCCCTGCCTACCTCCCAGGGTGCTCAAAGGAGGCGGAATGGATGCTAAAGCACTTTGGCTACTTCAGGAAACAACGCAGCCATCACCGAGACTAACAAGACTACTCTGCTTCCAATTCAAGCTCCAGGAGAGGACTATCGCTGGCAACAACCTCAGTAGGACCTCGCCTGGAGAGAGAAGACACAGAAGCAGAACAAGGCTGCAATCCAACTCGCTAAAAGCCAAAGACCTCAGCCTCAGCGTGGATAATTGCAGGCCCAGGAGACTGACGGCCCCAAAACTGGAGAGGGTGGAGACTCCTGAGGCCTGGCACAGTCCTGTTGGGCCCTAAGCGTGATCTAACCTAAGTTCTTTGAACTGGCGCCGCGCGGGAACAGAACTCGCAGCAGTTACTCACCAAGGCCCGTGCAGAGATTCCAGCTCTCACCCCTGACCCGCGGCGGAGACAAGGCAGAACTTCCGGGAGGCGGGGCCACGGAGAGGAAAAAGGGAAAGAAAAAAGGAAGTGGCTTCAACCCAGCCCATAGGACTATGAGACCCCGCCGGGCGGAAGTGACGTACGGAGAGGGCACGAGAAGCTTGAGCAAGCGCCGCCTCCCTAGCAACGCTGGGCAAGCGCGGGACCCTCTCCTGGCTACGACCTCTAAGAGTACTCGGGCCTCGCTGATGCCTGACGGAGAGCCCTTGGCTTTTGTTGACTTGTTGACCTTTGCTACTGCGATCTGGTCTTTCTGCGGGGATAAAGTTCCTCATTCTGTTGCTTGTCATTGGGGTTGCCATCACTCGTTCAGACGGCCGATTGGCTGACGGTCCCGTCAATCTCCGGGGACATGACTAGCCTCAGACACCTCAGAAAATTGTTCGTTGGTACCCCTACGTGCTGAAATGAAGAGTTCTGGAGAGAATCTGAGGGATTTGAGGAATTTCAGATGTTGGGGATTTTTTCCCCCGCACAGGGAGCGGTATTCTGCCCTGTCTACACATTAGAATCACTTGGCCTGGACAAAAGCTTTTTTAAAAAAGCGTTCCCCTCATCTCCTCCCCCCAAACCCCGCATTTCCATCCACTAGATTCTAATGCGTAAGCAGGAGTGACAACTACTGCCCTTGTGCTTTTTTGGGAACAAGAAATTGTCCAGGGAAAAGATAAACGCCAATCAGTCTCTGATCTCAGTACTAGTCTATTTTAAGC
This sequence comes from Homo sapiens, assembly GCF_000001405.40. Lineage (NCBI taxonomy): Eukaryota > Metazoa > Chordata > Mammalia > Primates > Hominidae > Homo > Homo sapiens. The sequence goes on along the minus strand of NC_000009.12, from coordinate 101,533,120 downwards.
TAATTAAGCATTGATTTTTTTTTTTAAGTTTATGACAAACTGCTATTTTCCATTCAGTTAAACTAAATGCGTTTTAATGATAGGACGGTAATTAATCTAACCTATTAATGAAAAGCTGTATGTCTCGCAGAACTATGATAAACTACCTAATGACGTCAGCTAAGGGTCTAGAAATGGAAGAATGATCGCTATATCTTTTTTAAAAAATAGAATTTAGGCATCTTGGGAAAAAAAGAAGCTAATCTACACTGGATTTCTGTTAGTGTGAAGACTTTTGTCCCTGTACCTGCTAGGGCTTACCTGTAAATGAAGTAAGATGGTCAACACCAGGGAAACAAGTGTTCCTGGTGCCTGGCAGTGGAACACCTTGACTATCTTGGAAAGAATTAACTGGCCCCAAGTGGACTTCACATTTCATTCCGTGAAGTGGGAGCCTGAGAACATGTGAGTGGGGACACACCTGCCGAAAAGCATTGTATGAGACAATGACACTCATTCTCTCATCTTCTTTGGTTCCTCTACTCTTAGCAAGCCTTTCATTCATAGAACTACTGAATGGCAAGTAATGGTTTTTCTAGCCCAGAAAACTAGAGGTTCACAGACTGCATTTAGCCAACAGTTATGCTTTGTTTATTTTAGACAGTATTGGCTGTCCTGCGTGGTTAAAAACAAGAACAAAAATGAACTTAGTTGCCAACATTTAAAATATGGCTATTTTACATAAAAATCCAAATTATCAGTTTCTCTAAAAAATGTTGATGATCTTGCAACAGAAGGGTTATATTTTTGCATGGTCACATTGCTTAGAGCAAAGTAGTGGCTTCTTCTTTTTTTTTTTTTTTCTTTTTTTCGAGACAGAGTCTTACTCTGTCACCCAGGCTGGAGTGCAGTGGCACAATCTCGGCTCACTGCAAACTCCACCTCACAGGTTCAAGCAATTCCCATGCCTCAGCCTCCCAAGTGGGTGGGATCACAGGCACACGCCACCACACCTGGCTAATTTTTGTATTTTTAGTAGAGATGGGGTTTCGCCATGTTGGCTAGGCCGGTCTCAAACTCCTGACCTCGGACGATCCATCCACCTCAGCCTCCCAAAGTGCTGAGATTACAGGCCTGAGCCACAGCTACTGGCAATGAGCCACCACGCTTGGCGTGGCTCTCTTTTATTAATAGATCATGTTATTCTTGTTTACCATAATCCCCACTAATCTTTACTGGTTCCTTAGCACTAGTATAGTTTAATTTGAGTATCATCACTTGTGTGTTACATTGTGATAAATCAATTGCTGGTACTACGTAAGTGTCTGGTGGACATTATTGGTGATCTACCCAACAGCTATTCCCCTTCCCTCACCTTAGCAGAACCAGGATTTTTTTCATGTATCCATATAGCACTTTGATTCCATTAAGTCTTAGGGAAAACTGATTTCACCCCAATCTCCAAGGATTGTCTTAAATACTAAGTTCCATTTCCCAAGCCAAAGTCCTAGTCAGCAATTGACACTTTAATCAGGGTGAATTTCTTTGAATACTAGAATTGAAGCAGATTTTTATCTTCCAGATTTTCTGTGTGAGGCTGAAACTGTTGGAGGCTTCCTGAGATCATTCTTGAGAATGGAGCGACCACATAGGGGTGAGCAGAACCAAGAGAATCTCAGGGAAATGGAGCCAATCAACTGAGTTAGGTCACCCCTAACTTCAACCCACACTTGAGTGTTAGAGAAGATTCTACAAAGAGAGCAGACTTTTCTAGTACCTTTCAATTCTCACCATGTAGGTAACCATATTCTCTAGCAACTGGGATATATGTCTTTCTCAAAAGTTCCAGTTATCTAACACCTTCACAGGTGTCACAGCTCTCCAGAAAATAAAATCAACTCTGTGTGTGTGTGTGTGTGTGTGTGTGTGTGTGTGTGTGTGTGTGTAGAAAGAGATTTGAGAAAGAGAGAGAGGGACATTATAAGGAATTGGTTCACAGGATTGTGGTGGCTGGATAAACCAAAATCTACAAGGCAGGTTTGCAACCTGGAGCCCCAGGAAAGATTTGCAGTTTAAGTCTAAAGGCAGTCTGCTGGCAGAATTCATTCTTGCTCAGGGGAGGTTAGTCTTTGTTCTATTAAGGCTCTCAACTGATTGGATGAGGCCTACCTACATTTTGGAGGGTAATCTGCTTTAGTCTACCAATTTAAATATTAATCTCATCCAAAAAAACAAACAAACAAACAAACAAACAAAAACACCTTCACAGAATCATCCAGAATAATGTTTCACCAACTATTTGGGCACAGTGGCCCAGCGAAATTGACACATAAAATTAACCATCATAGTAGGTAACCATATTCTGCAGCTACTGGTGAGATCTGTCTTTTCTGAGCACCTCAGTCAGCCATCTGACATCTTCAAAGTAGCCTGTCTCACTCTAGCGAATTGGGAAAATAGAATAGATGAAGAGGAGGATGGCAGAGATCTCTCTCATTGAATGCATTCCCCATTCATTTCTGACCAGCCACCTTCTGTTCACCATCTTAATCAAGAGAAAAAGGAATATCCCTGGAAAAATAAGTTTTTCCCTCACTTATAAATGGGAAAACAGCATTAGCAATGATAAAAAGAATACTTAATATTTTATTTCACTTTTAAAGTCTCATTGCTTGTATCAAAAACATAATTTAAGCAAATAGTAATCTTTTTTAAAAGGAGAAAACAGACTCAGATTTTAAGTGATTTTTTTTTTCAAATGATGACTTAATGAGTATTTGTTGAAGGACCCAAGTCATTCGACCTCCAGCCGGTCTTCATTAACTACCCAATTCTGCCACAAGGTGGCATAAGGCGACACGCCTCTTTACCCAGTTCCCTTTCTAAAGCTTTGGTTGCACAGTACTGCGCATCAGTCATGTCCTGTCTTCACCCTAACTCTTAGAAACTTGGACAACTACTGAGGGTAGGCTTAATGCTCTCAAAATGGACAAAATTAAGATATTTTGGATTTTTGTTTATTGTTTTTTTCTACACTGCTTTACAAATGTTTTGTTCTAAGATTGTTATATCTCCAGGCATTCCAATATTCCATGAAATCTGGATTGGATTGTATGCCAGACATAATTCAGGAACTCCCTTATTTTAAACAAGTTGTATTTTACTTAGCATGGTATCACTCGTTAAACAGAAACATTTAGATACCATAGCCCTTGCTCTAGACTTGCTGAATCAGAATTTCCGGGGGAAAGCTCTCTGAAAATGCAAGTTCTTACTTTTGTAATTATGCTTCCTATCTGGGCACATTTAAGGAACACTGCTCTAGGTAATGATGTCCAGGTCCACCTGGGAGTGTCCTACAAAAACGAGCCCCCTCCTCTTGTCCTCACCTTTCCCTTCTCCTACCATTCACCCTCGCCACACCTTTCTCCTTCATTTCCATACCCCTGCCTCCTTCTCCCCAGATCACCTGGCCCACTATACTACATCATACTCAGCCCTCTTACTTTGTAATTTCTGGGGACCAGGGAGGTGGCTTACTCAGGGGAGCTAGAGCCAGGTCTGCCTTTTTTAAAGAGTGAGGACAAGGTGTCCTAACAGTCTATGGAAACGTGAGAGCTAATTGGTAGTCACAAATTGTCAGAGGAGCCCCATTTAGTTTAATGCTCTCTTAAAAAGCTGAGAGAAGGCCGGGCGCGGTGGCTTATGCCTGTAATCCCAGCACTTTGGGAGGCCAAGGCGGGCGGATCACCTGATGTCAGGAGTTCAAGACCAGCCTGGCCAACATGGTGAAACCCTGTCCCTACTAAAAATACAAAATTAGCTGGGCATGGTGGTGGTCGCCTGTAATTCCAGCTACTCGGGAGGCTGAGGCAGGAGAATCACTTGAACCCAGGAGGCAAAGGTTGCAGTGAGCCGAGATCACACCATTGCACTCCAGCCTGGGCAAAAAGAGTGAAACTCCATTTCAAGAAAAAAAAAAAAAAAAGCCGAGAGACACCATGCAGCTATAAAAAAAGAATGACATCATGTCATTTGCAGGGACATGGATGCAGCTGAAGGCCATTATCCTTAGCAAACTAACACAGGAACAGACAACCGCACGTACTCACTTATAAGTAGGAGCTAAGTGATGAGAACACATGGACACAGAGAGAGAGAGAGAGGAGCAACACAAACCAGGGCCTAGTGAAGGGTGGGAGGAGGGAGAGGATCAGGAAAAACAACTAACGAGAACTAGGCTTAATATCTGGATGATCAAATAATCTGTACAACAAACCCCCATGACAAAATTACCTATGTAACAAACTGCACATGTGCCTCTGAACTTAAAAAAAAAAAAAAAAACTAAGAAGTGTCTATGTTACAATCATACAATTGGTCTTTTATGTCCCTATGCCCAGCCATGTGACAGTCTATGTTTGGGTTTCTAACATTTTTATCATTTGTATTTCTATGATGCTTTTGTGTTTGGAAAGCAGAAGCCAGGTTGTCTTTGTGAATTTTCACTGGGTAGGTCTACTCTTCCATATTACTGTTACTGTGCAACTAGAAACCCACCTGGCCTTGGAGGAGAAAGAACAGCATCACTGAAATGCTTGCATCAGGCGTTGGGGATGGGGGTACAGCATGTAATTACAAAGGTAAGATTTGGAATTTCCATTTCCAGAAGCATGGCATGACCATCATTCAGAAAGCAAGCTGAGGACTAAAACTGGATTTCAGCTGAGGGCATTTGTCAAACTAGGTAAAGGAGAATTTAGGTTTTCATGGCCTTGGTAGGCAAGCAGAACAGGAGACAAAGCCCAGGGACTATTATGATTGGGTGCATATTAGAGACCCCTCCCCATACAAGCAAGGTGGAAACAACTACTTCCAACTGAAAGAAAATTGCCTGTCTCAAACTTTGGTATAAATATTTTTGCTGACTGGTACAGAATTCTAGAAGGCACTTAAAAAGAATTTCCAGAAATGTGGAAAAATAAAAGAAGGGCACAAAGAGGCCATGGGCAGTGCCTATGATCTCATTTTTACTTTTAAAACTTAAAAAATGCAATAAATCTTTTCCTGACCCTGGGTAATTGTGCTTATTTAGTACAAATCTGAGTACAGATTTTGGGGCAACAGTACCTAATTAGGCACACCCAGGCACACCCTAACTTACCCTTGGAGCTTACAGGAATTCCAAGAAAATCCACATGGGTAGAGATTGAGCGTCTTTCCCAATGGGCAGTCAAGATGATGAGATGGATCACTAAATTCTAAAGAATCCATGTCATGCTGTATACACACAGCAAGGAGGGCCTTAATATTAGCAAAACAACATCAAGTGTCTCACATTAAATAAATGTTGTTAACTTTAAGCTTATTTGGCTCTGTAGCCTTGTTTATATTTAATTTGTAAGTATATTTTTGTTTGTAAGCTGTATAAGCATAAGGCATGCATACCAAGTTTATATTTATACATTTTAACATTACAATTAAAATATTTTAAGTAAACATTAAGTGGCCCATGAGAAAATTGTTTTCCTTTGAAAGAGGGGTCCATATATTACTTAAGTTTGTAAAACATTTATTACTTAATTGTGTAGCTACTGTCTTGTGTGGCCATAATTATGTCTAGTCTTTTCATTTTCTTTTAAATTATTCTAGGATCAATAAGGGAGAATTGATATAAATATAACTGATATAGTATATCAGTTTAAACATGTATTGACTCCAACAACGACATGTATTAAGATATGAATTTCTGGTGCCCAAAGGCATATGGCCAAATTCAGTTAAAAGGAGGTCTTACAGCAGTAGTATACGGCCAGGAATCCACAAATGTTCGGAATCTTGCCTCATCAGCACCCCTTTCCTGACTCAGAAGAAAGAAAAAGGCTGATTACATTGATGACTAATGCAGTTACCTAGAGAGTTATGAATTCTCAAGAGACTGCCTCCAGAATCTCAGCGCTTATAAAGCCCTTCCAGGTGGGGCTGCCATCCTCGTCAACCCTGTGATACTTGTAGCACTCAGCCGACTCTCTCTTCTCACTGTCACAACTTCAGGAAACACTGATCTTAAATATGCACATGCTGATATATAGTGAATTCAAGCTTCATCTTTATTGCAGGATGATGGTAGTATCTCCTCCCAAAGGCATTTATAAAACAGGAGACACATGAGTTAATTTGGAAGAGGTGGAAGGAAGTTCAGGATTTCCTGATATCCCTTCCCTGTTCTTCCTCCCAAGCATAGTTCTGGTTGGTACCATTTACTTTGGAAAAATGGAATAAGTCATTATGCTTCACTTATTGAACTAAACCTTGAAATTACAATTTATGAACCACCCTAGAAGCTGGATTCATTTGCATCATGTACTTGAATAAGGTTTTGAAAGTAACTGGGGCCAGGCGCAGTGGCTCATGCCTGTAATTCCAGGAGTTGGGAAGGTCAAGGTGGGTGGATCACCTGACGTCAGGAGTTCAAGAGCAGCCTGGCCAACATGGTGAAACCCCATCTCTACTAAATACACAAAATTAGCCAGGCATGGTGGCGCATACCTGTAGTCTCAGCTACTTGGGAGGCTGAGGCAGGAGAATCACTTGAACCCAGGAGGCAGAGGTTGCAGTGATCCAAGATCATGCCACTGCTCTCCAGCCTGGGCGAGAGAGTCAGACGCCATCCCAAAAATAAATAATAAAAATAAATTTAAAAAAATAAAAGTACTGGATGCCAGGGTAATAGAGATTTCAATAGTACAGGGAGAAAGATACTTTTAATGGACTATGTCCAAACCATGCAGCAAATTTTGACATTACATTGACATTTCAAATATTCAGTTAACCTTGAAGACTATTCCCTTTCTCTTTTTCTTATTTGTGCTTGCTTTTATTAATAATCTAATAATTATGTGGGTAGCCACTTACAACAGAGTGATGGCCAAGGCTAATTAGATCAGTGTGTTTGAAATGTGATCTTAACATTTAGAAGAACAGCAAGGAGATGTGTTGCTTCAAGCTGTTAAATGCTAAAATATGTGAAGTACTGAACATCTTGTTTTGTATTTTTTTCTTCTTATGAAAACTGTCCTTTTATAAATAAATGTCAATTTGTACCAAAAGCCTAAACTATGTCATACCCAATGATTCAGCTATTCCAGGTTTGATTATATGCTTGAAAAAAATAGAATCACATACTTGTTTAAATATGACTGTACAAAAATGTTTAACATAGCATTATTTATTACTTAAAATTTTTAGAATCAATTTGTATAAATCATGAAATGTCCTCGAATATAGAATTCTATGTAGTCATTAAAGTTGTGATATAGATTTGTATTTCTTAACACTGAAATATAAGAATATGTTGTTGAATGGGATAAGTCGGTTTCAGGAATATATGCATAACATTTATTTTCTCTCTCTCTCTCTCTTTTTTTTTTTTTTTTTTTTTTGAGACGCTCTGTTGCCGAGGCTGGAGTGCAATGGCGCAATCTTGTCTCACTGCAAGCTCCGCCTCTCGGGTTCAAGTGATTCTCTCTTCCTTAGCTTCCTGAGTAGCTGAGATTACAGGCACCTGTCACCACACCTGGCTAATTTTTGTATTTTTAGTAGAGACAGGGTTTCGCCATGTTGGCCAGGCTGGTCTCGAACTCCCGACATCAGGCAATCTGCCCACCTCGGCCTCCCCAAGTGCTGAGATTACAGGCATGAGCCACTGCGCCCGCCAACATTTATTTTCATAGGAAAAAAAAAACATTTAAAACCAACGTATTACCAATTTTAGACGTACACAAATTGTCTCCACTTGTAGTCTCTGCTTCCTCATCTCCTATTCACTCTATTCTCTAAATGAAATATTTCAGCTATTTACGTGTAAATAAATATGAAGGGGGTTTAATATGTAAACTAAATAGCAAGCACAAACCTAGCTATTTAAAGAGAGGGCTTACTTTAGAAAGCAGTTTGGAGATTTCTCAAAGAACTTAAAAAACAACTACTATTTGACCCAGCAATCCCATTACTGGGAATCTACCCAAAGGAAAACAAATTGTTCTACCAAAAAGACATGCACTCGTATATTCACTGGTACACAATTCACAATAGCAAAGACATGGAATCAACCCAAGTGCTCATGAACGAAGGACTGGAGATAGCAATCATCAGGGCAGATGGGAGGCAGGACTAGATTGCCGCTCCGGACAGAGCAGCGTGTGGGAGCTCGCATTATGAATTTTAGCTCCAGATCGACTACAAGAACAAACCAGCAATCCCGAGAGGACCCACAGACCCTCTGAAGGAAGCGGACTACTCCTGCAGGACCCAGGAGAGCCCCCTAAAACTGTGAGTGCCCCAACTGTGGAAGTAAGAAAGGGAGGCCCTCTTCTCCTGAACACATACCCTCACTGAAGAAGCTGAAAGTCTGTTTGTGGAAGAAGTTTTTGACTTTACCTGGAGCTGAGTCAAGTTAGCCAAGTGAAATACAGGGGTAGAGGAAGCAGCAGTAAGGCCCTGGGAGCTCACGGGGTCCCCCAGCAGCCCATTCCTGGCTGGCACCACAGGGATCCATCGGGAGAGTAGACAGAGGAGCAGGGGCTAAAACTCCACAGGGAGAAAGAAATCTCTAGCTGAATTTTGTAACAATTTGAATGGGGTGAGAAGCCTCGTGGCCAGAACTCAGGGCAGGGCAAATCTGGTGTGCAGACTCACAGGCTGAGAAGGAACGAAGCCCTTTTCTTTCGCAGCTGGGAGGTAGATAGCCTGGGGCCGGTTTTCAAGCCATATAGCCCTCCACCTGGAAACAGACTGGGGCTGTTGGCAGAGGACACAGTGGGAGTGAGACCAGCCCTTCGGTTTGCATGGGAGCTGGGTGAAGCCTGTGACTGCCAGCTTACCGCCACTTACCTGACAACCTGCATGACTCAGCAGAGGCATCCATAATCCTCATAGGTACATAACTCCACTGATCTAGTGTGCTAAGGACCCTCACGGAGTCCATTGCACACCCGCCCCCCAACCTCCACCAGAAAAGGCGCTAGTGTCCATGACTGAGAGACCCATAGACAGTTCACATCACAGCACTCTTGTGCAGACAACCCCCAGTACCAGCCCGGAGCTGGGTAGACTCGCTGGGTGCCTAGACCCAGAAGAGAGATAACAATCACTGCAGTTCGGCTTGTAGGAAGCCACATCCATAGGAAAAGGGGGAGAGTACTACATCAAGGGAACACCCCATGAGACAAAAGAATCTGAACAATAGCCTTCCACCCTAGACCTTGCCTCTGACAGAGCCTACCCAAATGAGAAGAAACCAGAAAACCAACCCTGGTAATATGACAAAACAAGGCTCTTCAACACCCCCAAAAAATCACACTAGTTCACCAGCAATGGATCCAAACCAAGAATAAATTCCTGATTTACCTGAAAAAGAATTCAGGAGGTTAGTTATTAAGCTAATCAGGGAGGGACCAGAGAAAGGCGAAGCCCAATGCAAGGAAATCCAAAAAAAAAAAAAAAAAAAAAAAAAAAAAAAAAGATACAAGAAGTGAGGGGAGAAATGTTCAAGGAAATAGATAGCTTAAAGAAAAAAAAACAATGAAAAATTCAGGAAACTTTGGACACATTTTTAGAAATGTGAAATGCTCAGGAAAGTCTCAACAATAGAATTGAACCAAGTAGAAGAAAGAAACTCAGAACTCAAAGAAAAGGTGTTCAAATTAACCCAATCCAACAAAGACAAAGAAAAAAGAAAAATATGAACAAAGCCTCCAAGAAGTCTGGAATTATGTTAAATGACCAAAACTAAGAATGAATAATCAGTGTTCTGAGGAAGAAGAGAATTCTAAAAGCTTGGAAAATATATTTGGGGGAATAATCAAGGAAAACTTTCCTGGCCTTGCTAGAGACCCAGAAATCCAAACACAAGAAGCACAAAGAACACTCAGGAAATTCATCGCAAGTCATCAGGTTATCCAAAGTTAAGACGAAGGAAAGAATCTTAAGAGCTGTGAGGCAGAAGCATCAGGTAACCTATAAAGGACAACCTATCAGATTAACAGCAGATTTCTTAGCAGAAACTCTACAAAGCTAGAAGGGTCTGGGGTCCTATCTTCAGCCTCCTCAAACAAAACACTTAACAGCCAATAATTTTGTGTCGAGTGAAGCTAAGCATCATATAGGAAGGAAAGATACAGTCTTTTTCAGACAAACAAATGCTGAGAGAATTTGCCATTACCAAGCCACCACTGCAAGAACTGCTAAAAGGAGCTCTAAATCTTGAAACAAATCCTGGAAACACAACAAAACAGAACTTCTTTAAAGCATAAATTACACAGGACCTATAAAACAAAAATACAAGTTAAAAAGCAAAAACAAAACACACAAAGTACTCAGGCAACAAAAACATGATAAATGCAACAGTACCTCACATTTCAATACTAACATTGAATGTAAGTAATGCTCCACTTAAAAGATACAGAACTGCAGAATGGATAAGAACTCACCAACCAACTATCTGCTGCCTTCAGGAGACTCAACTTACACATAACGACTCACATAAACTTAAAGTAAAGACGTGGAAAAAAGGCATTTCTTGCAAATGGAAAGCAAAAGTGAGCAGGGGTAGCTATTCTTATATCAGACAAAACAAACTTTAAAGCAACAGCAATTAAAAGAAACAATGAGGGACATTATATAATGGTAAAAGGCCTTGTCCAACAGGAAAATATCACAATCTTAAACATATATGCACCTAACACTGGAGCTTCCAAATTTATAAAACAATTACTAATAGACCTAAGAAATGAAACACACAGCAACATAATAATAGTAGGGGACTTCAATACTCCACTGACAGCACTAGACAGGTCATCAAGACAGAAAGTCAACAAAGAAACAATGGATTTAAACTATACCTAGGAACAAATGGACTTAAAAGATATATACAGAACATTTCATCCAACAATCGGAGAATATGCATTCTATTCAACAGTGCATGGAACTTTCTCCAAGACAGACTATATGATAGACCATAAAATGAGCCCCAGTAAATTTAAGAAAATTGAAATTATATCAAGCACTCTCTTGGACCACAGTGGAATAAAACTGAACATCGACTCCAAAAGGAACCTTTGAAACAATGCAAATACATGGAAATTAAATTACCTGCCCCTGAATGAGCATTGGGTCAAAAATGAAATCAAGATGGAAATTTAAAAATTATTTGAAATGAAGGACAATAATGACACAATCTATCAAAACCTCTGGGATCCAGCAAAGGCAATGGTAAGGGGAAATTTCATAGCCCTAAATACCTACATCAAAAAGATCAAAAGAGTGCAAACAGACACTCTGAGGTCATACCTCAAGGAACTAAGAAACAAGAACAAACCAAACCCAAACCCAGCAGAAGAAAGGAAATAACCAAGATCAGAGTAGAACTAAATGAAATTGAAACAAACAAACAAAAAATACAAAAGATAAATGAAACAAAAAGCTAGTTCTTTGAAAGATAAATAAAATTGATAGACCATTGGCAAGAATAACCAAGAAATGAAGAGAAGATCCAAATAACCTCACTCAGAAATGAAACAGGAGATATTACAACTGACACCACTGAAATACAAAAGATCATTCAAGGCTACTATGAACACCTTTATGCACATAAACTGGAAAACCTAGAAAAGATGGGTAGATTCCTGGAAAAATACAGCCCTCCTAGCTTAAATCAGAAAGAATTAGAAACCCTGAACAGACCAATAACAAGCAGCAAGATTGAAATGGTAATATAAAAATCACCAACAAAAAAAAGTCCAGGACCACATGGATTCACAGCAGAATTCTACCAGGCATTCAAAGAATTGGCACCAATCCTTTTGACACTATTCCACAAGATAAAGAAGGAACCTCCCCTAATTCATTTTATGAAGCCAGCATCACCCTAATACCAAAACTAGGAAAGGACACAACCAAAAAAGAAAACTACAGACTGATATCCTTGATGAATACAGACACTAAAATCCTTCACAAAATAGTAGCTAACCCAATCCAACAACGTATCAAAAAGATAATCCACCATGATCAAATGGGTTTCATACCAGGGATGCAGGGATGGTTTAACATGCAGAAGTCAATAAATGTGATACACAACATAAACAGAATTAAAAACAAAAATCACATGATCATCTCAATAGATGCAAAAAAAGTATTCAACAAAATCCAGGATCCCTTTATGACCAAAACCCTAAGCAAAATCAGCACACAAGGGACATACCTTAATGTAATAAAAGCCGTCTGTGACAAACTCACAGCCAACATAATACTGAATGGGGAAAAGTTGAAAGCATTCCCTCTGAGAACTGGAAAATGTCAAGGATGCCCACTCTCACCACTCCTCTTCAACATAGTACTGGAAGTCCTAGCCAGAGAAATCAGACACGAGAAAGAAATAAGGGGCATCCAAATCGGTAAAGAGGAAGTCAAACTGTCACTGTTTGCTGACGATATGATCATTTACCTTGAAAACCCTAAGGACTTCTCCAGAAAGCTCCTAGAACTGATAAAGGAATTCAGCAAAGTTTCTGGATACAACATTAATGTACACAAATAAGTAGCTCTTCTATACACCAACAGTGACCAAGTGGAGAATCACATCAAGGACTCAACCACTTTTACAATAGCTGCAAAAATAAAAATAAAATAAAATACTTAGAAATATACTTAACCAAGGATCCAAAGACCTCTACAAGGAAAATTATAAAACACTGCTGAAAGAAATCATAGATGACATGAACAAATGGAAACACATCCTATGCTCATGTGGATAGAATCAATATTGTGAAAGTGGCCATACTGTCAAAAGCAATCTAACAATTCAATGCAATCCTTATCAAAATAACACCATCATTCTTCACAGAATTAGAAAAACACAATTCTAAAATTCATATGGAACCAAAAAGGAGCTTGTATAGCCAAAGCAAGACTAAGTAAAAAGAACAAATCTGGAGGCATCACACTACCTGATTTCAAACTATAAGGCCATAGTCACCAAAACAGCACGGCACTGGTACAAAAATAGGCACATAGACCAGTGGAACAGAATAAAGAATCCAGAAATAAAGCCAAATACAGTCAACTTATCTTCAACAAAGCAAACAAAACATAAAAGCAGGGAAAGGACACTCTATTCAACAAATGGTGCTGGGATAATTGGCTAGCCACATGTAGGAGAATGAAACTGGATCCTCATCTCTCACCTCATACAAAATCAACCCAAGATGGATTAAGCTCTTAAACCTAAGACCTGAAACCATAAAAATTCTAGAAGATAACATTGGAAAAACCCTTCTAGACATTGGCTTAAGGAAGGATTTCATGACCAAGAACCCAAAAGCAAATGCAATAAAAACAAAGATAAATAGCTGGGACCTAAACTTATAATTTTATATATATATGTGTGTGTCTGTGTGTGTATATATATGTATGTGTGTATATATATATGTATGTATATATATACATACATATACATATATATAGTAAATAATAAATTAAAGAGCTTTTGCACAGCAAAAGGAACAGTCAGCAAAGTAAGCAGACCACCCACAGAGTGGGAGAAAATCTTCACAATCTGTACTTCTGACAAAGGATATCCAGAATCTACAACGAACTCAAACAAATCAGTAAGAAACAAACAAACATGGCCAGGAATGGTGGCACATGCCTGTAATCCTAGCACTTTGGGAGGGGGAGGCAGGTGGATTGCCTGAGCTCAAGAGTTCAAGACCAGCCTGGGCAACACAGTGAAACCCCGTCTCGACTAACATACAAAAAAATTAGCTGGGCATGGCAGTGTGCACCTGTAATCCCAGCTACTCAGGAGGCTGAGGCAGGAGAATCGCTTGAACCCAGGAGGTGGAGGTTGCAGTGAGCGGAGATTGCACCATTGCACTCCAGCCTGGGTGACAGAGCAAGACTCCATCTAAAAACAAAACAAAACAAAACCAAACAAAAGTGGGCCAAGGACATGAATAGGCAATTCTCAAAAGAAGATATACAAATGGCCAATAAACATATGAAAAAGTGTTCACATCACTAATGATCAGGGAAATGCAAATCAAAACCACAATGTGATACCACCTCACTCCTGCAAGAATGGCCATAATCAAAAAATCAAAAAAACAGTAGATGTTGACGTGGATGTAGTGAACAGGGAACACTTCTACACTGCTGGTGGGAATGTAAACTAGTACAGCCACTGTGGAAAACAGTGTGGAGATTCCTTAAAGAACTAAAAGTAGAACTACTATTTGATCCAGCAATCCCATTACTGGGTATCTACTCAGAGGAAAAGAAGTCATATGAAAAAGATACTTGCACACGCATGTTTATAGCAGCACAATTCACAATTGAAAAATTGTGGAACCAACCCAAATGCCCATCAATCAATGAGTGGATAAATAAATTATGGTATGTATATACAATGGAATACTATGCAGCCATAAAAAGGAATGAATTAACACCATTCGCAGAGACCTAGATGAGACTGGAGACTATTATTCTAAGTGAAGTAACTCAGGAATGGAAAACCAAACATCGTATGAGAATATTGTATGAGAACATTCTCATCATATGAGAACATTCTCACTGATATGTGGGAGCTAAGCTATGAAACACAATGGCATAAGAATCATACAATGGATATTGGGGACTTGGGGGGAAGAATGGAAGGAGGGCGAGGGATAAAAGACTACAAATATGGTGCAGTGTATACTGCTCGGGTGATGGGAACACCAAGATCTCACAAGTCACCGCTAAAGAACTTACTCATGTAACCAAATACCACCTGTACCCCCAATAACTTAGGGAAAAAAGATCGATGGACTGGATAAAGAAAATGTGCTACATATACACTATGGAATATGATGAAGCCATAAAAAAGAATGAAATCATATCCTTTGCAGCAATATGGGTGCAGCTGGAGGCCATTATCCTAAGCAAATTAACGCAGGAACAGAAAACCAAATACTGCATATTCTCACTTATAAGTGGAAGTTAAACATTGAGTACACGTGGACACAAAGATGGAAACAATAGACAATGAAGACTGCTGGAGGAGAAAGGGAGGGAGGAAGGTCTGAGGGGTGACCTATTGGGTGCTGTGCTCACTGCCTGGGTGATGGGATCATCCATACCTCAAATCTCAGTGTCACACAGAGTTCCCATGTGACAGACATGCACATACATCTCTTGAATCTAAAATAAAAGTTAAAATTATTTTTAAAATAAATACATAAAATAGTGAGCTTTATTGCCACTATTAAAAGACAACCCAAACCCTTACAAAAGAGAAGCTAAATAGAGTCTGGCTTAAGCTTCCGTGGAAGTCACAAATCCTGGGAAACATACAGCTCACAGCAGTCACTGAGCTGTATACCACACCTCCAAAACAAAAGCTAGGGCCCCAATAGTAACTTACACTAACTGTATAGTCTCTCCTGTCCTACTCATTGCCTCCCCCAACCCAACAACCATCATCTTGAATCACATGTTTGTCATTCCTTTGCTTTTATTTTTATGTAGTTTTCTTGTATCTAGATGTACCCCTCTAAAAGCACATATTTGATTTTAGTTGCTTTTAACTTTGCGTTTTTAAAACTTGATATCTTATTTTCCTGCTAATGAAACAAAAAGTTTAGCATGTTCTCACATCCTTTCCTTCTCCCTCTCTTCTCCCCCACCCCATTAGCTTGTTATAATCTAGATATTTAATTTTATGTGATATAGATATATTTTCCATTTTTCTTTGGTCTCAAATATTTTTCCAAGCAACAAGAAACACTATTTGATCACCTTTATTTCATAAATTTCTTAGAACACAACATCTTCTTTGTCATTGATTTTCTTTCTTTTTTTCCCATGTCATTGCTTTTCTCATTTCAGCAGCTCATCTGAAATTTGTCTTCACTTTGGAACTTGGTGAGGTAAAGCTTCTGAAATCTTATATACAAACAGTCCTCATTAAGCATAATTCTGATATATGCAAATTTCAGTTACTGCAATTTAGTTAAATAACAGCAGACTCTAACAGCAATGGTTCAATTTCAGTATATAGTTATTATAACTGTGATTAATTACATAAAATAAAAATTTTGCCCTTCAGTCTTCAATCAGCATGTAAATAAGAGATAGATCATGAGCAGTGACCATCCACACCACTCTTTCAAAGTCTGTTGGCGATCAGTCACTGTGCATCTGTTAATCAGGTCAAGTGACAAGAGCAAAGCATGTAGCTGTGTTGCCTCATTGTCTCCCAGTGATAACCAACCTCATGTGATGTTTTTGCAAAAATGGATAATCAAATGAAGGAACTGGCTAACAAAGATGAATTGCAAAAGAAATAAAAAGTGTTAAGTCTGAAAGTGAAATTGGATGTAATTATAAGATTTGAAAATGGCAGCAGCAAAGCAAAAGATGAGAACTAGGTCTGCAGGATGGTACAGTATGAACCATGTTGAAAATGTCTGATAAATACAAAAAATAAGATAAAGTCATATCAACATATTTTAATTTAAATTGCACCATTTAACAGAAAGCCACTTATCATTGAAATTGAGCATTTACTTCTACTTTAAAGATTTAACAAACAATTCCAATCATTTGGCAAGAATTCATGGCAAAATGTGAAATTAGTTACCACATGGAAAACAAACAGTAATTACAAGGAGAATGAAGATAAAGTCTGATTTCACCATTTCAGAAATTAGCGTGAATTGATTAATGTTAAACTATCTGGTGAAGCTACTATTGCAAATAAAAATGTTGCTGTAAAATCTGCACTCAGATTCTGAGAAATAGTTAAGGCAGATGGTTATAATGATCAGCAAATATTTATATTGATGAGACAGACTTTTTTTGGAAGGGAATATCATCACGAATTTAGGCAAAAAAAGAAAGAATCACAAAGTGGCCAATAAGGAGTAAAATAGATTAACTTATTTAATTAGGAGGTAATTGATACACCATAATTTATATGAAGTAAAGAAAGCAAGCATTATTCAAACTACTCTTGATACTTTTTAATTATGATTTTTAATTGACAAATCATAATTGTATTTATAAGAGACAATGTGATGTTTTAATAAATTTTACCATGTAGAACCACTAAATCAAGATAATTAACATATTCATCACCTCACCCATTTTTTTTGTGGTGAGACACTTGAAATTTACTTTATTAGTTATTTTGAAATATGTTATACACTATCATTAACTAGTCACCCTACTATGCAATAGAACTCAAAATTTATTCCTCCCATCTATCTGAAACTTTATATCCTTTAATCAAACAATTCAAAGATATGAAAATATCATATTCTTGATATTTTTCACAAAGAAATTTGTTAATTCTCAATGTTTCTAAGATTTAAATCATAATATACTAAATAAATACTAGTTTTACTATTTTTTTCATTTCCTAATACATTTATGAATAAGAGTTTTTAATATTTTGACAAAAATTTCTGAAGGGCATGGAACAATTCCCAGTTTTCTGATTAATTATTAATATAGCTTTGCATGGTTTCAGCAAAACCTTTTTAGTCCTGCATTACCATGTAAACTGAGGAGTGCCTATACTTGGAAACATTTTTACCATGCCTACACATCTGAATAACAGTTTGCTGGATATAAAATTCTGGATTCCAAGTTTTCTTCCTTTAATAATTTGAAAACCTTATATGGCAAAAGGGTCTTTGCCGACGTGATCTTCAGAAGGGGAATTATCCTGAATTATCTGGGTGGGC
This sequence comes from Homo sapiens, assembly GCF_000001405.40. Lineage (NCBI taxonomy): Eukaryota > Metazoa > Chordata > Mammalia > Primates > Hominidae > Homo > Homo sapiens. The sequence continues at coordinate 101,515,355 of NC_000009.12, read as the reverse complement.
ACTAAATGTAATCACAAGGGTCTTCATAAGAGAGAGGCAAAAAGGCCAAAGAAGAAAGAGGTGATGTAATAACAGAGGAAGGGGAATGAAAGGTGACATGAGTGGGATGATGCCCAAGGATGCAGCAGCCTCTAGAATGCAAAATAAGCAAGGAATGGGTTCTTCTTCACAGACTTCAAAAGGAGCAACTCTGCCAACAACTTAATTTTAATCCATAACACTCATTTTGGACTTCTGACCCCATGAATTTTAGGAGAATAAATTTGTGTTGTTTTGAATCTGTAGTGATTTGTTACAACAGCAGTAGAAAACTAACATAGCACTCAACAAAGATTGACTGGAAAGTTGAATGAATGTAAAATAGCATCACATATATGTACATCCAAATATAACACCGCTCAGCTTCCCCTCCTCAAAGCAGAAACTTAGAGCCAGTTGAAGTGTCCCCTGGTTCTTTTGAGGAGTTCCCAACAGATCCTATATACATACCACATCAGTATAAAGTCATGATGAGGGAAATGGTTCACACCTGATCAACTATAATTCAGTTTGTTCCATTTTTGGCTCTGATCAGTGACTCAAACCTAGTTGAGTGGGTAGGATGAGAGAGGTGCCACCTTATTCCCTTTAGTTTCCTCCTTCTTTTCTTACACTCTGCCCCCAACCCAACTCCTCTGTTCTCCTCTACTTGCAAAAGAAAAGCCATAGCATTTCAATAGATGCAAACACACACTGGTGGGAAATTTTGGTGAGATAATTGCCAACTTCAAACAGCCAAAACTGTCCTTTTACATGCACACACACGCACACAGGCACACATACACACATGCACATGCACATGCACATGCAAACATACAAAATGAGAGACAGAGAAAGGACCACAATGATGTTTAATCTGACTTATAAAATTTTGATTTTCTTTCTGCTTTACTATATTGTTATTTTTCCACAGTGAGAATAAATCATTTGTAAGATAAGTAAATAAAACTTCGAAGCAAAATATTTTAATCAGTTAAACCTATTTTTAGAAGGACTATGGAGTTGCTGCCAAGAGCTAGACAAAAACATGAGAGACACGAAAGGAATGTAGATTCCAATCATTGCAGCAAAGAGGCTGAATACAGAGTGATGGAAGTTAACTAATGTGATGGCTAATTTTATGTGTCACCTTGGCTGAATTAAGGAATACCTAGAGAACTGGTATAGCATTACCTCTGGCTATCTGTGAGGGTGTTCCCAGTGGTGACTGGCATAAGAATCAGTGGACTGAGTGGGGAAGATTCACCTTCAATGTGGGCAGGCACCATCCAATCAACTGGGGGCCTGAATAGAACAAAAAAAAAAAAGAAGAGAAAAGAACTTTCTCTTACCCTCTCCTAGAGCTGAGACAGTCTCCTCCTGCCCTTGGACATCAGAACTCCAGGCTCTCCAGATTTGGAACTCCAGGACTCACAACAGTGGCCTCCCAGGTGCTCAGGGCTTCAGCCTTGGACTGAGAATTACTCTATGGGTTTTCCTGATTCTGAGGCTTTTGGACTTGGAATGAGCCACAATATTGCCATCCCAGGGTCTTGAGCTTGCAGAGAGCCTGTTGTGAGACTTCCCTGTCTCCATAATTATGTGAGCCCATTCCCCTAATAAATCTCTTATCTATCTGTCTATCTATCTACCTATCTGTCCATCCATCCATCCCATTGGTTCTGTTCCTCTAAAAATCCTAATACAGCTGCCAACTCAAATTAGGCAACTAAAACTGTTGCTAAGAGGCATGTGCATTACAATCCTCAATCAATAGAGTGGCATTGTAGCTACAACAGGGCACTTAGCACATCTGTGGGAGGTGATGTCCTTGTTTCATCATGTTCTTTTGTTAAAAATTCAAGTGTGTGGAGTGACAGGTCTGACTGTTCCTAGATTCAGAATGTTAGTTTGGGCTAATCAAAGTTTTACTGTGATAAAAATAGATTAGAACATATTTTGGACTTACCCAAAATGGTGCCTGCTTTTTGTTTTTTCCTCTTTTGTAAGGTTGGAAGAATCACAAGATTAGGTGATGGTTAGAGGGCAGAGAGGACCATAACACCATTTCCAGTGTCCTCTCACCTTTAGGTTTATGAGCAATTGCAGATACTTCATTGCGGACAATGAAGAAAATCAAAGGTGGTCAGGCAAGATATTAGCCACTGCTCAGCACACAGTCTGTATGTGTCTTTGATAAAATGTTTGTGGTATTTTGGTAAAGTAATAGTTTTAACAAAGTAAGGGTTAAAATTTCTTATAAAAAAAGATGTTTCTGCCTATGACTAGTGACAAATGCAGCAATAGGATTTACTTGTTCAATGACACTGAGGTTTCTAGGAAATTTGCATGGTTAATGCTACTATAAAATTCAGCTCCCAAAGTGTCAAAGAGTCAGCTTCCTAAAAAGGTGAGTCAATTTGTGAAACCTTAGAGAATAGCTGGGAAACACTCAAACTCTTTGAACGTGGAAAATCCACTGAGATGCTTTTACTTTCTTTGCTCCTTTAAAAAAAATTGAATGCAAATATTTCCCCCTTAAATCCACGGAGAGGAAATGAGTAGAAACCACATTGATGAAAGCTATTGTCAGGGTTCTAGTTTCATGTTAGGTGGTGGTTTTAACAATGTGTATTATTGTTGTTGTTGTTGTTATTGTTAATAGATAGAAGTCCCTATATAGACATTTGATAAAAGCATATCATGAATCAAGAATCATGATTAATCTCTTCATGTATCCTGTTAAAAAACAAAATTTCAACCAATTTAGTTTAAATGTCTAATTGGCTTTTACTAGTGATTCATGAATCAGTCAGCCTCCCATGTAAAAATAGAGGGAAGCTCCACTGGACATGGCAGAACAGTCAGTTTTGTGAGATAGCTTGAGCAAGAACAAGGAAACAGAAAAACACAAAAATAAATGTGGATTGGTTAACATCAGGTTACTTCAGGTCACTTTCTTTGTAAGGGTTAAAGCAGAGAGCATGTTGGCTCAGGGTAACTGGGCCCTTTCTGATTGGCTGCTGTGAATCTCGTATTTTTAGGAAAAACTGGCCTTTGGGACGGGCAGGGCGGGGTGAGGATTATCTTGCTTCCTTAAAGTTGCAGTTTGATTATGTGGCAATCAGCATGAGTGACTGCATTTTGGTTTGGTCTGTTGGGGTCTAGCAGAGGAGCTCAATCCAAAACAATGGCTTCCTGTATATTTTATTTAACAAACCCCTGCTTTTGGTCAGGCTCTCACCCAGGTGAGACTTAGGGCATCAGTGCTACACTCAGTGATCATCATTCTGGATTTTCAGTCTCAACACATTATTCACAGGTTAGAGTGTCCTCATTATTACACATTTCTTTGAGTTTTTGTCATTCTGGCTGGAGAGAGACTATTTGGCATTGGGTGGATGACTGCATGCAGGAATTTAAGACTTTTGAGAGCATGCACCAGGAAGACTATCCCATCCTAGGTCTGACCCATCCAGAAAACATACAGACTATAGCAAGTACATCTTGATAACCCATACTTGGTAGGAGTTAATTGAAATCTAATTATAAATGCTCAGATGGGCCTGATGGACAGGAGTCATCCCAGGAAGAACAGAAACAGACTTTCCTGGCTTCAGAGGTTGACCGATTAAGCACTGATTATAAATAATGTTTGCAATTTTATAATGGTTTCCTCACCAATACCTACTGATTCTTTGTATCATCTTACCAATACCATTATGGATAAAGAAATGTAAGGAGCCTAACAAAGGTCCCTTAAGGAAGCCTGGGAACACCATATAACCCTCTTCATTTTCCCACAGTTAGGAAAAGAAATTAAAATAGCATCCCACTCATTGACAATATTCTTTTTCATGCTTAGAAGCACTTTGTTGTCCATAGCCAACAGTATCTGGGTTTAAAGAGGCAAAGTCAGGTAGCAGGAAATGTGCTTTATAGCAGGGATCCCCAACCCCTGCTTAACCGGTCTGTGGCCTGGGGTTTGGAGACCCCTGCTATAAAGCATGCTCCCTGCTACCTGGACTGGTAACAGGTCCTTGGCCTGTTAGGAACTGGGCCACACAGCAGGAGGTGAGTGGCAGGTGAGCAAGTGAAGCTTTATCTGTATTTAAAGCCACTCCCCATCACTTGTATTACCACTTGAGCTCTACCTCCTGTCAGATCAGCAGCAGCATTAGATTCTCATAGGAATAAGAACCCTATTGTGAACTGCACATGTGAGGGATCTAGGTTTCATGCTCCTTATGAGAATCTAATGCCTGATGATCTAAGGTGGAACTGAGGCAGTGATGCTAGCGCTAGGGAGCAGCTGCAAATACAGATTAACATTAGCAGAGAGGTTTGACTGCACAGAGACCATAATAAATCAATTGCTTGTAGACTCATATCAAAACCCTATCAGAGAGTGGCAAGTGACAATTAAGCTGCATCTGGTGGCAGGCTTTATAGTGGAAAGTAAGTTGAGGTACTTCAATTGTATAGCTGCATCTGGTGGCAGGCTTTAAGTCAGAATCTGAGACTTATTTTAGTCCACGTGTGGCCCGCCCGTTATTTTATTCATCACTGCTGTCCGTGACTCTTTCCCGCATTGTGTACTTGTCACAGTCACAGTTTTGGTAAGCCCACATGCTAACCATAGCCAAAATGAGTAAAAAACAAACGTCAATGGAGAGCTTCTTTGAAAAAGGGAAAATACCCAATTATGAAACAGCAGAAGACTAAGACTGTGAGCAAAAAGAAAGCTCCATTTAAAAGAAAATACCAAGTGTCCTACTTAAATTACAGGTCTATTGCAACAGGTGAGTCACATTCTCCAAGCCCACTATGTATAACATATGGCAACTGGCTATCCAACAAAGCCATGAAACCTTCAAAACTGCTTCACCACATAGAGACAAAGCACCCTGCATTAAAAGGTAAGCCTCTGCAGTTTTTCAAAAGAAAAAAAAAACATGAACATAACGAACAGAAGCAATTATTGAAGGACACCGCTTCATCAAATGTGTCTGCACTCAGAATAATTCTTGGTGGCTAACTGCACTGCTAAAGCTAAGAAGCCCTTTACTATTGGTGAAGAATTGATCCTGCCTGTTGCTAAGGACATATATCATGATCTTTAGGACAGACTGCAGTTCAAAAGGTGGCATGTGTTCCTCTTTCACCTAGCACCATAACTAGATGAATTGATGAAATAGCAGAGGATACTGAGGCACAACTGTTAGAGAGGATGAATGAGTGGCTGTGGTACACAATCCAGGTTGATGAGCCTACTGATGTTGACAACAAGGCAACAATGCTTGTTTTTGTGCACTATATTTTTCAGGAGGATGTGCATGAGGATGTGTTATGTGCACTTTTCGTTGCCAACCAACACTATGGCTGCAGAACTATTCAAGTCTTTGAACGATTACATATCAGGAAAACTGAAATGGTCATCTTGTGTCACATATGCACAGATGGAGTGGCTGCCATGACTGGACGGCTTTCTGGTTTCACTACTAGGGTCCAAGAGGTTGCTTCTGAATGTGAGTCAGAAGCACCGTGTCATCCATAGAGAAATGCTTGCTAGCTGCACCGTGTCATCCATAGAGAAATGCACCATGTCATCCATAGAGAAATGCTTGCAAGCTGAGAAACATCACCTGAACTTATCATTTTGCAGCATGTGATTAAAATGATCAACCACATCAAAGTACATGCCCTTAACTGATGTCTGTTTGTGCAGCTCTGTGAGGAGATGGATGCAGAGCACACAGGCCTTCTCTTATATACAGAAGTGAGATAGCTTTCTAAAGGTAGATTGCTGGCCAGAGTTTTTGAATTACAAGAGCCACTTCAAAGATTTCTTTTAGAAAAATAGTCACCACTGGCAGCACATTTCAGTGACACAGTATGGGTCACAAAACTTGCTTACTTGTGTGACATATTCAACCTGCTCAACAAATTCAACCTGTCACTTTGGGGGAGAACAACAGCTGGGTTCAAGTTGGCAGATAAAGTGGCAGCATTCAAAGCCAAACTAAAATTATGGGGGCCACTAGTGAACGTGGGGATTTCTGACATGTTTCAAACATTAGGAGAGACTTTGAGAGAGACTGAGCCAGGGCCTTCTTTCTTTCAGCTGGTGGGTGATCACCTATCTCAGCTTTCAAAAGAGTCTGAGCATTACTTCCCAACCACAAAAGACCCCCAGACTGGGAAGGAATGGATACACGACCCATTTGTGAATAAGCCAGGTGAATTGACTTTGTCCACGCTAGAAGAGGATCAACTGCTTGACACTGCAAGTGACAGTGGCCTTAAAAGGATGTTTAAGACAACTTCAAATCCTAACTGTCAAGGTGGAATATCCGGCAATTGCCACAAGAGCACTGAAAAGCCTGTTTCCATTTCTAACATCCTACCTTTGTGAAACAGGGTTTTCTGCAGTGACAGCAAATAAAACGAGGTTACAGAGTAGACTGAATGTAAGCAACACATTTCGGGTGTCATGGTCTTTCCTCACCCTCAGATAGGGCCATCTAATTGCAGGAAAACGAGCTCAGGGCTCCCGTAGATTCTGCATTATGGTGAGTTCTATAATTATTTCATTATGTAATACAATGTAATAATAATAGAAATAAAGTGCACAATAAATGTAATGCACTTGAATCATTCTGAAACCATCCCCCGACCCTGTCTGTGGAGAAACTGTCTTCTACGAAGCCAGTCACCAAAAAGGTTGAGGACCGTTGCTTTATAGTTTTTCTTTTTAGCTGAAGGATTTACATAACAGACCTCACAGGGTGGAGTAATAGTTTTGGCATGAAAGCTGGGTAGAGCATCTCCCTGATAGCAATAGAGGCTTTTTATAGGAGCCTCTTTGTTATGATAGCAATCTCTTTAGACAGCAGTATAGCAGTAAGGAACTCATCAACTTATGGGTCATATTTTATTGACGTGCCTGCAGATGTGAAGAAATCTTTTTGTTTCCAAAGCATTCCGAAGTTATGAACTACCGCAAAGGCATAGCAACTGTCAGTCAGACTGGTTTTTAGATAAAATACAGGCACGGGCAAGTGCACAAAGCTCTGCCTCTTGAGCAGACTTCAAGTAGGGAAGTTTGCCACTTTCAATGAACTCATATTGGATGGTGAATGCATATCCAGCACAAAAGTTTTCTTCCTGATCTTTAACATTAAGATCCATCCAAAAAAAAAAAAAAAAAACACTCAAAAAGGATTTTGAAAAGGAATGTCCTGTAAATCAAGATGGGAAATAATGACTGATTGAGAGGTTACCATTTTACAGTCATGTGGTTGACCTTCATCAAATAAGGGTAACAAAGTAGGATTGGGAGCATGATAGCATTTCAAATGAGGATTAAACAGTGAGATTAAAAGGATTTCATAAGAGATTGGTCTGCTCTCAAAAAGATGTTGGACACAGCTAGAATTGAGAAGACTGTACTGCAAGTGGTGTGTGGGGATACACAGCATTACCTAAGATCAGATTTCCAGAAGCTACAACCAGTTTTTCCAACACATCTAGCTTTAAGGCAATTTGGGTATGCCCTAGTGACTGAGTTTAATTAAGCACTATAATAATCCATGGCCCAAGCTTTCCACCATGTAGCTGTGTGACCATTCCCAAAGTCTGGTTATTACTCTCTTGCACAAACAGGGTGGAAGGTTTTGAATAATTGAGCAATCCCAAAGCAGGGGAGCTTTGTTATTTTGTAATGCCCTTATTATCCTACAAAGGCTGTCTCGTGTTTTTTCTTCCCAAGGAAGGGGTTCAAGAACTGAGCTTTTAGGGGTTCAAGAACTGAGCTTTTAGACTTCATAAATGTTAATAGGAAAATATTAGGGACTCACAGACAGCAATATCCAACTAAACCTAAACACCTGCAAAGTTGTCTCCTATTTACAGGTCTGGGCAAATCTTGGATAAGCCTAACTTTATTAGGAGACAGTTGGAGACTTGCAGCACTTAGATCATGTCCCAAATAGTGAACAGTATCTGATGATAACTATAATTTGTCTTGGGAAACCTTATGTCCCTTCTCTACTAACCATTGTAACAGATAGATAGAGTCCTGTTGGGATACCTCCTTAGTCAGCAAACACAGTAAGAGGCCATCCACATATTGCAAGAGAGAGTCAAGCCTCTAGGAACTGGAGAGCACTCAAGTCTCAAGCACTTGAGAGGAATAGGAGGGGCCTTCAGTGAACCCCTGAGGCATGATTATCCAGGTATATTATTGATTATTCCAGGTGAAAGCAAACAGATATTGACTGTTGGGGTCAACTAGAATGCTAAGGAAGGTTAATCATAGGTATACCACTGTAAACCACTTAGAATTTGGGAGAAGCTGTGACAAAAGAGTAGGGTTTGGAACCACGGGAAAATGGGAAATAACTATCCTGTTAAAGGTTTGTAAATCCTCAACAAATTGCTACCTTTGGCTGTTAGGTTTTTACAGGGAAGACTGGGGAGTTACAAGGATTGGTACATGATATAATTAATCTCTGAGCAATTGAATCTTCTATTATTGGCTCAAGACTTTGTATGGCCTCCAGCTTTAATGGATGTTAAGGGAATTTGGGAAGAGGCTTAGTGGGGTCTATTTAAATTTTAATAGGCTCTGCACTTTTTATTCTTTCAATACTAGTATTAGACATGGCCAATATGCCACTGAGTTTCTCGGTTAAGTCAGGGGCATTTTGTAGACCGTCCTCTTCCTCTGTATCTAGGACAGATGGTCAAGCGTACAGGAGATCTGGCTCAGGTGAGTCAGGAAATTTCAGAGTCAAGTCTCTGTTAGAGGCAAATCATATCAGGCCTTTTAGCTCAGACAGAAGGTCTCTGCCCAATAACTTGACCAGAGTTGTGTTACACAGCAAAATACAATGTTTTTCAGAAAAGGGCCTTGAGTCACTTGTATAGGTTGAGAAGCAAATTCTTCTTGAATTTGATTTCATACCTCCACAGCTAACATTTCCTTTTTGTTCCAAGAGAAAGGCTATCTTGTAAAAGTGGGGTGTAAAGTAAAAAGAGTGCCTCGAGTGTCTACCAAAATTGGGTGAGATGTCCAATGGATTTTTATCTTTGTATCCTCCTGACTATTTAAATGCATAACTGGTAGCGGCTTACTATAGTTTTCCACAGGGGCCCATCAGTCCTGGTGTCATGTCACCTACTACTGGAGAATAGGCAGCCTGTGTTTAGAGGCCTCCTTTGAAATCTTTGAGGGCAGTTCCTATTCCAATGTCCCAGTTGTTTGCACAAATGGTAACATTTTATTGGAAACTGCTTTTTTAAGGGTAACTTCTTAAGAAAGCACTGTGGTAGGTCCAAAGGTCATTTAAATTGTTGATGCTATGGAGTTGCTGAAATTGCAAAATCAATATTTGGAAGCTCTTTGTTTTTTATCTTATTCTAAGGTCCTTTCAAAATATTCAGCTATAATCACTAATTCAGCTAAACCTGTAGGCACCTACCTATCTTTTGTGTTTTTACGAACCAGATAATTTCAGGGAAGAGTCCATTTACAAAGGGGGTGGGTAGGGTTGGTTGGGTTGTATTATCCACTGTGTAGAAGGCAGAATGCTAAAGAAGAAAGCTTCCCTAGGTTTGGAAAATTCTTTAACTATAGCCCTAGGTTTGGAAAATTCTTTAACTCTAGCCCTCATTTTTTGTCCAAAGATCAGAAGTCACTCGAGGACTATCTCCTGAATTCTCAGATGGTTGTTTCTTATAAGGAAACTATATAACCATTTTTTTTTATTCAGAGAAGAAAGATAATTCAGACAGAGGGTCAGTAGGCTGGAAATACCCAAGAAAAGGAGAATAGAGAGGGGCAGTAGGACTCCTATCAATCATACCGTCCTTGGTGTGGGATATAGCTTGTATTTTCAATTTTTCATTAGCTTTTTGCAATAAATCTAAAATGTCCATTTTAGAATCTTGTAATCTCTTAGAAGCTTCTATCTGTCAATTAAAATATGCATCCAATTCTGTCTTCCTAATTCAGGAAACCTGGGTTTCAAGTACCCCTTTTAGATGAACAATCTTCTCCATTTGGAATGTTCCACATATGGCTATTGTAATTCTGAATTATCTTTGGTAAAAAAAAAATGCCACTTTTGTAAGTATTCACAGCTTCTGGAGCCATAATTTTCATATGTGAAAAAGATAGGCTTACTGCAAAGTGGAGTACTCAGTCCTTTAGATAGTAGGATCCCATTTTTACATTGAAACTTGGGTCTCTCAGAGCTGAGATAAAAGCTTAAGGAGGAAATGTCATAGGGTTCAGTTGTGTGCTATTTTCATCATGTTCTTCATTGCATAGACATTTTCTTGAGGTTGGCGGGTGACCTAGTATCATCTAACCCATCTATGACCAACTTATCCTAACATAGGAGTCTTTTTGTAGGTGACAGGGTCCACTGGCAGCTTTTTGGTGCCCAACCCAATGCCCACCAGCCAAGTTGTGGCTTGGCTCTGAGATTCCCTTGACCAACTTAGCCAGTGATTTTTCCTTACCTTAGCCCATTAGAATAAAAGTAATGAAGGGAAGGAAACCCAAATTTCTGAAAACTTGTGAAAGGTGGAGTCACCTTCTGGAAGTAACTGCCATTTACTGCAATTGCTCTCAGTTACCTTTAAAACTAAAGCCCACTGATCACTGTTAACACCCAAAATCATATGCCCTATGACAGCACAAACAAACTCTTGGGACAAAAAAGCCAAAGAGATCAGGGTGCTCAAATGTAAAAGACAGCAGAGCTTGGACCTGAGAGAAACAGAGAGGCACAGAAAGAGAGAGAAAGTTGCTCATGACTTCCAGGCTCTATGAGGAAGACAGTAGACTTTAAAGGTATCAGCAGTCTTTCCTTTGGGTCCCTTTGTGGTTGCCAGAATTGTTAAAAATAAAGTTTCAACAAATTTAATTTAAAGATGTAATTGGCTTTTATTAGTGACTCATGAACCAGGCAGCATCCCACCTACAAATACAGGGAAACTCCACTGAACATAACAGAACAGTGGTTTTTTTGTAAGGTAGATTAAGCAGGAAAAAGAAAAGAGAGTAATACAAGAACCAAGAAACCAACCAAAAAAAAAAAAAAAAAAAAAAAAAAAACAAACACACACACACACACAAACAAATAAAAAACAGAAAGCAGATTGGTTAATATCAGGTTACTTTCATAGTAAGGGATAAAGTAGAGAGGACTTCCTTATCATGCTGGCTCAGGTTGATTGGTCCCTTTCTGATTGTTTGCTGTGAATCTCCCACTTTTTTAGAAAAAAAACTGGCCTTTTGGGGGATTGTCTTCCTTCCTTTGAGTTTCAGTTTGATTATGTGGTACTTAGCATGGACTACATTTTGGTTTGATCCATTTGGGTCTAGTGCAGGAGCTCAGTCCAAAACAATGGCCTCCTATAAATTTTATTTAACAACCCTGAAAGTCCAATTTTTTAAAAGCAGAACAGAACAAAAGAATAGGGAAACATAGCAAACTCTTCTTACCACAATTGGTACCCAGTGAATGATTTGGGGAGGGGAGAAGTTTAGGGTAGAATCAAAAAGGGGGATTTCCAGAGGGGAACCAGGATGCTATAAGCTTGTCTTCCCAGGACTTTTTCCAGGCTTTCCCAGGTTACCACCTCTCTTACCTCCACCTCCCACCCCAGAACTTTTCAATTCATTTTCTTTTATGAAAGACCTTGATGGCTTTTCAATTTGGGGTTCTAATCTGAAAAAAATGGCTCCCTGTGGTAGAGAATGTAATTATTATTATCTATGCATAACAATAATCATATAAAATTATAATAATAAACATCCTTGAAACTACCACCCAACATGAAAATTATAACCTTATGATTTTAACAAACTGAGTATGAAACAACTTCAAATAACTGGGTATTCCTCTTCATAATCCATATTGGATTGTTTAATAGCATATAATAAGACAAAGTAACAGTAACTTGAAAAAAAAATAGTTAACCTTCTCAAGCGAAAGAAGTCTGGAAGAAGGAGGACCAGGATTGAGGCTCCATGGTGACCAAGGATCTGAGACTTCCTTCATTTGCTTTGCCATCTTTAACTTGAAGCTTTTTTTTGTAAGATCGCTTTTTAGTCCAAGATGGCTGTAAGAGTTCCAAGCTTCATGTCTGCATTCCAGACAGCAGGAGAAGCTTTCCTGCAAAACTCACCCAACTACTTCAGCTTATATCTCATTCACACCCCAACCCTGAGAAGTGAGAGAGAAATGTAGTTTTTCATTTGGGCACACTGCTCTAGAATCTATCACAAAGGATGAAAAGGAGTATTTGCTACTGGATTGGCATCTGGCAATCTTGTGCCACATGCTTTGTGCACAAATGCTGCTCAACACTGAAAAATATTTTTATCAACCCACATCTTTATTCTTCCCTCACTCACCTCCATTCCCCATGAAAAAAAGGAACTTTTGGCCCAAAGTGCATCAAAATTATGATTATGAGAAGTGGCAAGAAAAAGATGTCTTTCTTATAGATGTTCTTTTCTGAAGACTCTGACAGAGCCAGGATTCATGTTCTTCTGGCCTCTGACCTGCAAAATGCTGTAGGTGTGGCCAGGTCTCTAGGAGATAGCACAGAGACCAGAGCAAGGGACATCCCAAGCTAGTTATCTGGGGATGGAAGGATGCCCTAACAGGAAATGTAAAGGCACACAATGTATTCTTCTTTTGGGCTCCTCATGGTTTTCCTAATCCTCTACCCCTATAAGATCAGATTTTTGGTATCAGGATGGTGGGGTGACATTTTGTTTTATAGTATAAATCTCAATGTCTGTCATTGGAGGTATTTGATGTCTGTCATTGGAGGTATTTGGCTGGGTGAGGGGGAAGAGTCTCATTACTGGAATCACAGAGGCATAGCTTTAGTTTTAACTGCATAAGCATTTAGAAATTATCTCCATGAGAACTCATCCATTTAAAGTTTTCATCATTTGGAACTTCTAGGATACCACATCCAAACCCAAAAGAGTACGTCACTGAGGACAGAGGTATTTTCTTAACAAGTTCAAACATGAAACTGGGATAACACTTCAGATCGCACTTCCCTTTTCTACCCCTCAAAAATTCCAGATTAAGAGTGTCAACAGAGTATTTAGGATTTAGAGAGGAAGATGCCTCCAAAACAAACCCATTTGAAATGTATCTGTAGAGCCAAGGATTTTACCCACACTGGGGACCACAGGAAATGACCTACCCTGAGATGTGTTTGGTATTTTTGAAAGAGGGCGACTCTAAGCTGGACATTTGGTGATGAGAGAGGATAGAGAAAGGAAAACCTTGTTTTATCTGTGTAGGTGTCTTTTGTGATCTTAAAAGTTATTATCCAGCAGATACTACTTAGCCCAGGGCCTGGTGGCGACGCTGGTTCTTTCCTTTCCAATCGGAGGCCTCTGCCGCAAACATGTTCCACCAGATCATCAGTCAGAGGATCTGAACTTGATCCCCCTTTTTTGTATTTACTGGAGCTGGAGGTACTAGAGCAGCACTGTATCTCTTGTGTCTGGCATTGTTCAATCCAGATGTTAGTTGGGACAGAAAGAATAACCCAGAGCCCTGGAACAAACTGGGTCCCAATGATCTATACAAGTTCTACTCAGTGAATGTGGATTACAGCCAACTGAAGAAAGAAGGTCCAGATTTCTAAATGAAATGTTTCACTATAAAGCTGCTTTAGAATGAAGGTCTTCCAGAAGCAATCCACACAATTTTCCACTTAACCAGGAAATATTTCTCCTCTAAATGCATGAAATCATGTTGATGTAATCTACTAGGGAGATTACACTGATTAATAAATAACTGAAACTTGAAAAAAAAAGTTATTATCCAACTTGATAGAAAACTGGAGTCTGGAAATCTGAAATATCACCTTCCTCTTTTCATGCGGCTCTTCTTCCTGCTTGTCAATGGAATTCACTTTCCGTGGTACCATGTTGTTCAGCCATCAGATCCAGCTCAGCTCATATTCTGAATCATTGCTAATTCTACGGGTAAGTTTTTCTGTTGTGGCTACAGCATCACTATTGTAGCAGTACAGCACAGATTGGGAAATGCAAAGAAGAATCAAACTGCATTCTGTAGGCCCAGGAGAAGTCAGATGTGTATGTGCAAAAGGGAGGAATGGTAATGTGGCTTCATGCTGGATATCCTGGAGAGAGAAAAGGTTGACTTTCTTTTTAAGCTCCAACTTCTATTTCACATAAAGCAAATCAACTACTTTTTTACAATGAGTTGTGAAGTCATGAAATGTATCCACTTGAAGAAAAATAATTCCACAGGTGTATAGCTGTGTATATTTTTTGAAATTTACAGTCTATACACTGGAATAGAATTTAAGGAATCAGAAATCACTTTTTCTCATGACAGTCCCCCACCACAGACATCAGACATCAACTTTTTCCCAAACTTTAAGCACTTAAAAAATAGGTCCAGAAAAGAGCATATTGCCTTTTTCCTTACTTCTATCAAGAAGGGGATCTAGATCTTCATCAGTTTGCCAAACCAGAAATGCAGACTAATAGGTGTATCTTCCTGTCTCCTCCCTTTCCTGAGCTTCTTTTAATTTCCCACTCATTATCTTCTCCCTGCTTTTCTGTCTTCATTTCCATCTACCTTCTTTTCAAAAGGACTCACAATGACTTTCAAAAACATACTGTATCATGAGCACTCTGGTGGGCTGACTAATGACCCCCAAAGATATCTATTTCCTAATCCCTGAAACCTGTGAATATGTTACCATACATAGTAAAAAAAAAAAAACAAGTCTTGCAAATGTGATTAAATTAAGAACATTGACATGCAGCGATTATCTGGATTATCCGGCTAGGCCCATTATAGTCACAAGTGTCCTTGTAAGAAGGAGGCAGGAGAGTCAGAGTTAGTAGTCACAGATGTGGTGATGTATGTAAAAGGTTACAGTAATGCGAGGAAGAGCCTCAATGATCCAAGAAATGTGTGAGAGCCCTAAAAACTAAAAAAGACAAGAAAATGGATTCTCTCCTCAGAGCCTCAGGAAGGAACCAGCTCTGTTGACACCATGACTTTGGATTACCAGGACTGACTTCAGACTTCTAAGATAATAAATTTGTGTGTTTTTAAGACGTTAAAGTTGCGATAATTTTTATAGCTGAAGTAGGAAACTAGTAAAAAGACCAAGAAACAGTTCCAGATTAAAGGAGATTAAAGAGGCAAAACAAATACATGCAAAACATAATTCTGGATTTGATCTTGAACTAAACTTTTTTCTTTGGGTAAAAAGTATATTAGTGAGACAAATGATGAAATTTAAACAAGGGCTGTATATTAGATAATATATTATATTAATATTAATTTCTCAATTTTGAAAATTAAATTAGGGTTGTATATAATGTCTAGAATGTCTTTGTGCTTACAAAATAGACATGGAGGTAGTTAGAGATAAAGGAACATTGCGTCTGCAAGTTAATCTCAAGTAGTCACCCCCTCATGCACACACAAATATTGTGAAAGTTGTCAGAATAAAAATGGATCCACTAATGTCAAGAAAATTCCAACAAATAAAGCCACGGAAGGCCATGAAGAGAGAGTTCTCACATTTGTATGCCTGATAACACAAAAGACTACAAAAATCACAACTTTGCACAAAGGCCATTGCAACCTTATGCAAAAGATATTTCTGCACAGACATCTGTCCAGCAACTGCCTGTCCAACCTCAAAATGGTGTTGCGCTTGTTACAGATCTTAGTAGTCAAGAATAATTACTTCAAAACAATTATGAAAGCCTCCTTTTTTTTTCTTTAAAAACCTTAGCCTTCCTTTACCTCCTTGAGTACAAACATAGTTTACTATGGCATGCATATTCCCACTGCAATGTTCTATTCCCAAATACACATTTTTTTTTCTTTTTGAGAGACTCTGTTATTTAGGTTGACATATATGATATCAGAAGTGGGATGTGAAAAAGGTCACTATTGGAAGAAATTGATGGCTTTTGGAACCAGTGTGCAGTACTCACTTGAGCCCTTTGATCCCTCCACTTCCACAGCTCACCTTTTTGGCCCTTATGAGCTGAGCCTCTCTCCTTTCGACAGGGGCTTTTTTACTTTATTTGGGATCTAGTTTAAATAAGGCCACTTTAATAAGAAATCTTACATCGCTTCTGGGCTATAAAATACTTTTTTTTCCAGTCTTTTCTGGTAAGTCCTGGTATAAAGACAAGTCTTTTTCGATTGAATACTCTTGCTTTCTAGAGAATTTACATTCGGTCTGTGAGGCATGTCTTCTCTGGGTTCCATGTGTAGTTTAGTATTTCATTTGATCTGCACACCTGGGTTAAAATTTTGTGAACACTCTTACCTTGGTTTCTTTTGATTACGTTTGACTACTTT
The DNA here is from genome assembly GCF_000001405.40 of Homo sapiens. Taxonomy (NCBI): domain Eukaryota; kingdom Metazoa; phylum Chordata; class Mammalia; order Primates; family Hominidae; genus Homo; species Homo sapiens. The sequence goes on along the minus strand of NC_000009.12, from coordinate 101,498,922 downwards.
CCCTTATTATTTCTGAAAATCTTCTGGGAAGAAAAAAATAAACATTCTAAACAGTAGACACAAGATAGCTAATTAAAAGCCACTAGAGCACTCACCACCATCTAAAACACCAATTTAAACCCCTGATATTCCCTGGATTTATAGGATTTATAGTTTTGTTGCTCTTAAGGGATTAATAAGAAACACAATGGAATTCTCAAATATTAAGGCATGCCAGGTTTCCTGGGCCTCCAGCTGGCTACATAAATGGCCATTATTTTAAAAACCTGCAACTATACAGTTAACATGTAGTATTTTAAGTTCTATGTCTCTCTATTTTTTTCTTCCTACTTTAAATATGTTGGCTTTTCTGCTAGTGGTGAAATAAAACTCACTGCTATCTCACTGCTCTGGCATTCCAGCCAAGATTAAAAAAAAAAAAAAAATTCTTAAAGGGCTACCATATTAACGGCTTTACAAATTACAACAGCTCCACAGTAACTAACAACATGGACACCTTCCAAAAATATAAATTTAGGTTTGCCTGATTAGCAATTGTGTACAATAATAAAACATTTAATTCAAAAATTAATAATCTAAAAAAAAACGGTTAAAATGCTTCCCTGCCCTCATGTGCTAATCAAACAAATCAGACTGGCAAACAAAAGACTTGTTTTACTAATTTGCTTTAGTAATTGTAAAATTGTTACTAATTCAAAGCAAGTTGGGAGAGGTTTTTCTCATACAATTCAGCTAGTCCTCACCACAATGCAAACATTAAAAGTTTAAATCTAAACTCATCTAAAACTGGGCAAAAAGGAATAAAAGAGGTTTTTAAAAATCAAACTGCCCTGAAAAACGCTTTACTCAAAATTTTGGTCCACAGTCTTACCTACTGGGGCAAATAAGGTTTAGCCATATAAACAGGTTCCAATTTTGTCAAAAATATAATTTGGATCCAACTATCTTTTACAAACTGATGAGTTTACATTACTATCCCCTAACTAAAATTCTAAAATAAAAACTATAAGCTCTTTGTTTGTGTATGTATGTGTTTAAATAAATTTATACATATGTACATGTATTGTGTTGTATGTTGTGTCTACATGGCAAAATCTGGCTTAGTTGACCCAAATTCCCTTAAACATTTTTATTTAGATAAAAGGGCACTCATATAAAATATAGAATATATAGTTATTAACCCAAATGCTTCTTAGTTCATGACTTAAGTAAATCTTTAATAAATAAGCTGGTTTTTAAATTATTGATAAAATAAAAATAAAAATGTCTTCAAAATTGTCAACATACATTTTCGCCTGGGTTTACTGGTCAGACAACTTTATATTTTTTCTTATATAGATAGATACACACACACACATATATGTTTATATATATTAAGGTGTCAGGGTTTGGCATGAGAGTTATGAAACTATTAACCCAGCCTAAAACAAAATGACCTTTGTGTAATATTTTGATAAATAAAACTAAATTAATATTGTTGGTTTAAAACAACAGCTAACTCTTCCAAGTTATTGGGATAATACTCATGTATTTAACTTTAAGGTTCTCACTTAGGTGAATACCTAATGTTTACACGTCATAAAAATTGTTAACAAAAAAAGTAACTTAAAGTAGTGACTATCTTTGTCTAATATCTCAGTTCTTATAAATAATCTAGGTAAACTGTTAAAATTAAATTAAGTAAATATAAATGAAATAAATGCTTATAAATAAACTTTTCATAGAACTTAAAATCTTAAAGTTCTGTTAAATTAAATAATCGATATTCATTAAATGTCTGAGTTATTTCCAAATAAAATTTAAAAATTGTTATAGAAAAATGTTTCTAAAAATTATAAAATAGTTCTCATCTATAAATGAGATAGATTATTCCAGATTTCTTGCTTCCTAAGTTTTCACTCAAATTTAAGGTTACTAACAGTTAAAAATTCTAATTAATATGTAATTCTGTACATAAAGTGTACAAATAGTTTTTAATATTAAAAAATTATGAAAAAACATTCTTTATTGAAAAAATAATTTTGTCTAATTTGAAGGTCATGTTAAATTTGTTTCAAAATATAGATTAAAAAACAATAAAAACAAACCAATAAATTCAAAGAATGTAAAACATGCTATAAAAATGTATTCTTGGTAAAAATAACAGCTAAAGCAATAACTTTGTATTAAAAAAATTTTGTATGGTAAATTTGTGTCCTAAACTAAAATAACTGTTTTTGGTTTTTTTAAAGAACATGTAAGACAAACCAAAATGTCTAAACATGTAATCAATGGTGTATACAAGTTCTAATAAAGTTCATTAAAAATGTATTTAAAAATTTTTGTGGGTGATCAAGTGATATTATAACTTTTTAGAAATTATTTAAAAGTCTTTCTAAAGATTAAGCTTTGATATTAAAAATACACTAATACAAAACTAAAAATTATGGTCTTCTACATTGAAACAATAACGTTTTCTTAAAATATTAATTTGCTCTTACTAAAATTACAAGTTTTGATTTTTAATTCTAAAATATATATTTTTAAACTGCTCAGATTTACATCTCAAAAGTTCAACTTTTGCTGGACTTCGCTGCACATGATTTGCAGATCACACATCATTGCCTTCTGTTCTTTCTCCCCTTAAAAAAAGATTTATCTTTTTTCTTAGTTGAGGTGATAACTCTCTCTCTCAACCTTTGTCAACTCCTGTAACTTTTCTTTCTCTGGTTTTAACCCTGCTTTTCTGGCATAATGCTGAGATGTTGTCATAAAGTTCTAAAAAAACAATATTTTCCTCCAGTGTAACTTGATTCTTTAGTCTTGGCTTTTCTTGACATGCCTAAATTGTTCCATATAACCAAAACTTTCCATGCTGTTAGTAAGAGTCAATGTATTTCCCTGCTCAAGGCATTTTCCTGTTTACATTCCTCTATAATATAGTTCACTCACTTTTCTGGAGTCTGAACACACTTTTCTGGCATCTGATTAAATTCAAGTACCCATTTCCTCAGATTTGACTTTCCAGTTATTTAAATGAGCTTCACATAAGGAAACGTAATCACACTATGGGAGGATGTTTTTGTTTTGTTTTGGTTTGGTTTTTTTACCTTTTTGTAACTGGCCTTAAAAAAAAAACTCAAACATTTTATGTTTTATTAAGATAATTGCTGCATTGAATTTACTAGGTTTTGGATTACTTTAAAAGTAATAAAGAAAGCTACATGGATGTAAAAAAAATAACCCTTTTAACCCCTTTAAAACTCTATTTTTTTAAGTCTTTTGGTTATCACTCTGGTTAAATAAATACATGTTATTTAGCCATGACCTGTAATTCTGTTTTAAACAACTGTTTTAAACCTTTGACATCTTTGGTAGGTTTCCCTAGGTTCAAAATCCTAAATTAGGTCTTTCTGACTAAAATTAACTTTAAAATTTTCCAGTTGAGCCACAGAAAGCCTATATATATTATATATAAAATATAAGTATATATAATATATATTATATATAAAATATAAGCATATATAATATATATTATATATAAAATATAAGCACATATAATATATATTATATATAAAATATAACTACATATAATATATATTATATATAAAATATAACTACATATAATATATATTATATATAAAATATAACTACATATAATATATATTATATATAAAATATATAAACTATATAATATATATTATATATAAAATATATATAATATATATAAAATATATAAGATATATTTTATATTATACAAAAAATATATATAATATATATAAAATATATAATATATATAAAATCTTATAGAAATAGTAAATAATTAGGCACTTGATAAATTGCAGAAAAGACATTGTCAAATAATAAATGGTAGTAAATCTTCTTTCAGTTACATTTAGGGATATGGTATTGATATAAATGTTCCAAAAATTATATAAATTCATAAAAATCTAATGTTATCAGTGATAATTTGTTTGTTATATTAATCTTTTCTAAAGTTACATTTATATAAATATGCTATTCAGGTAACTAATTGAAAAAATATATAAAATTTATAAAAGTCTAATGGTCCTGGTGTAATGCTGTCAGTCCTGATTCTGGTTATCTTAAAATGCTACATACAGTAAAAATAACTAGTTTCCTTGTCAACTGAAAACTTTCATCAGATTTTGACCATGGCTATTCTGAGTCCTTGTTATCCACAGTTATTGCTTTGAGTCCTTTAAAAGTTTTTGCAATCAGCTATAGTCTAAAATTGCTTTTCATGGAAAAGCAATGAATTCTAATAAGTACTCACACAGATTTCTGATAAGTTTTAAATCAATGAACTAAATGAAAATTTCCATAACTCTAATACAAAACTAATGGACTTACAAAACTACTAATCAGGATTAAACAAAACAAAAATTTAATTTCATGAAATTGAATAATTGATACGAATAATGTTCTTATGACTTTTATTTAAAGCATTGTTGGCTCTTTACTTAAATGTTTTTATCTCCAGATTTAAGAAAATTTTCTCTCATAACCTATCTGTAGTTTATGAGAACTTGGGAAAGTATACTTTTGTAAACAAAGATGAAAACATTTACTTTTTCTCCCTAGTTGATTCTCCAAAAATGTAAAAACCATTCATAAATATTTTTATTTTTATTTACATAATTTCAATTAAAATCTGCTCTCTCTTTATAAACAAAATATGCTTTAAAACTTTGGTTATATTAACAAGGCTTTAACTAAAATGTCATATTTTTAAATGTACATAAAATGCCTATCTTCAAGAATTCTCAGCCTTAAAATGAGTAAATAAAAATTGTCACTTCCTGTCAGGCTCAAGAACTTAAGACTATAAATAAAATCTAAAGTTGGCCTTTGTTTGGCTTCCAAGCCTCAAACAGTTTTTAAATCTAAAATTCTTATACGATCAATATTTTAAAAAATAAAATTATATTTCTTTAAAAAAACCCTATGATACACCTGTTACTAGATTATATCCCTGTACATTGTTTTCAAGATCTTGTTATATACCTATAGACCGAACTAGATCCTACATTCTCCTAATCTCCCCCAATATTTGGCTACAACTCTCCAACAAAAACTGCCTTATTCCTAAAGCTCTATAAACTAAAACTAAATGGATTTTAAGAAACAAGCCTCATGCCTAAGATATGGACTGTACAAAAGTTCACCAAACTGCTAACGTCATGACCAGAGACATTCAAAGTACAAATCAAAAAGAAAAGCTAATGTTTTCATGCTGTAAACAGCTTTGACCAAGACATTAAATAAGATTCCATATCATAATGAAACTTATGTCCCCTTAATGCTACCTTTTTCACTTGGCAAGATCATAGTTTAATTAAAATTTCACAATCAATGGCTTCTGCTGGTAATTTCACAAAACCTAACCTAAGAAATCATTTAGTATCTATTAGTTAAACTGAAAAAAAATATTTTACATATTCATGGAGTACACATGATATTTTGTTGCATGCATAGAATGCGTAATGATCAATCTGAGTATAAACTCTGCCCAAATCCATGGCTGACTGCTAAACTACTCACCTGTGGATAACATCCAAGGGAGGCCAACAAATAAAAGGCAGAGAAAAATCAGAAGAGAGTCTACCTTTGAAAGATAAGACTGCACTTAGTGAGATTTATAAGTTTACTATTTTTTTTTTTTTTTTTGAGATGGAGTCTCGCTCTGTCACCAGGCTGGAGTGCGGTGGCACAATCTTGGCTCACTGCAACCTCCGCCTCCCAGGTTCAAGTGATTCTCCTGCCTCAGCCTCCCGAGTAGCTGGGACTACGAGCGCCTGCCACCACACCCGGCTAATTTTTTGTATTTTTAGTAGAGACGGGTTTTCACCATGTTGGCCAGGATGGTCTCGATCTCTTGATCTCGTGATCCGCCCGCCTCGGCCTCCCAAAGTGCTGGGATTACAGGTGTGAGCCACTGTGCCCAGCCTTAAGTTGACTATTTTTTAAAACTAAATGTGGACAGCTCAGGCAGCAGAAAGCAGAAGCCTTACTTGCTTGAGGTATCAGAGGTCAGCTTAAAACTGGAAGAGCAGTTTAAGGGGGAGTTTAGGGAGAAAACTCCTGAAGCAAAAAGACAGAGAGAATAAGCCCAGAATCTGAACATAATTTCTCCCCAAATGCTTGACTAATGACTAATCTACTCAGTCACAGGAAAGATACTTAGGGGGACAGTCTAAAAAATCAGAAGCTGAGGGAAGAAAGAAAAACCAACAGAGATAGTAGCAGCTACAGGAGACATATGGTTTGAAAACTGAAATTTGAGACCAGGCAAGTCAAACTGCCTACTAGAAAAAAAACCCAACAATCTTCAGGAAAATGTAACAGAATTCAGAGTTGCTACAATACATTACAATGTCCAGTCTTAACCAAATTTATTAGATGTGCAAAGAAAAAGAAGCATGGGAATGCTAGAGATGCTATGTTAGTATCAGAGACTTTAAGACAAAAATTACTGCCGGGCGGGCGGATCACGAGGTCAGGATATCAAGACCATCCTGGCTAACACAGTGAAACCTGGTCTCTACTAAAAATACAAAAAATTAGCTGAGCATGGTGGTATGCGCCTTAGTCCCAGCTACTCAGGAGGCTGAGGCAGGAGAATCGCTTGAACCCGGGAGGCAGAGGTTGCAGTGAGCCGAGATCGTGCCACTGCACTCCAGCCTGGGCAACAGAGCGAGACTCCGTCTCAAAAAAAAAAAATTACTGCCAGAAACAGTTATTTCATAATGATAAAAGATATCACAATCATAAACGTATATGTGCCAAAGCAAAAAACATATGAAACAAAAACTTATACAACTAAAAAGAGAAATAGACAAATTCACAATTATGTGTTTAACAGACTTTTCCTATAATTGATAGAACTGAAAAAAATCAGTACAGAAGAAGATGTAAATGACACTATTTCCTACACAGATCTTAGCTCATGATTAAAGAACACTACCCCCAACAATTGCAGAATGCATCATCTTTTTAAGTGCATATGAAATATTCCCCAAGACAGGCTATATTCTGGGCCACTAAAAAATTGTCCCAACAGATTTTAAAAGAATATATATATATATATATATATATATATATATATATCCTTTAAGATTTCATTCTTTAAAAATATTTATATATCCTTTAATATTTAATATATATTCTTTGAGTTTATACATATAGTTAATGTATTTTATATATATTAAAAGAATAAAATTAGAAATCAATAAAAATACCTAGAGAAGCCCCAAATATTTGAAAATTTAAAAATACATGTCTGAATAACATGCATAAAGAATAAATTACAAGGAAAAATTGAAAATATTTTGATCTGAATCAGGTAGTCAATATGACCTGTCTGGTAGATGTGAATCAGCTTCTTTAGTCAAGTAGTGCTTGTTTAATGGGCCTATGTACAAAATGGCCATGTCAGTCGGGACAGATTCTGAATGATTTCAATAATTGTACTGATCAATTTCAATAATGTGCTGATTTTGCTACCGTTCATGTTAAGTGCTCAAACTGTCAACAGCAATGATCAAATGCTGGTTCTGTGATATGGCTTTATTTCCCAGAAGAACCAACCAGCTAGCTGGTGCCAGGTTGGTTATACTGCACATCTATTATCGGGGGGGAATAACCATTTGTCTTCTGTAGAGATTTCTGGGTACCAATTTTCTTTCCTAGGCCACAGCACTTCTGCTAATACCACTATTCATGAACTTACAGAATAAGCGTACCATTGCCTTGCTCTACCACATATTACTTTTGCCCAGGGGACCCATTTTACAGCAAAGGAAGTATGACAATTAACTAATATCTTTGGAATTCAGTGGTCTTACCATGGATCCCATCAAACAGAAGAAGCTGGTATTATTAAATGGTGTAATGGTCTTCTGAAGGCTCAGTTATGACACCAGCTGTGAGACAGCACCATGAGAAGTTGAGGTGCTATCCTCAAGAATGCAGCACGTTCCTTAAACCAATAGCCAACGTGTGGCATAATTTGCCGATAGCGAGAATTCAGACATCCAGGAAGCAAAGATATATTCTTCTCACTATTACAGCAAAAAACTTACTACAGAGATATTTTTTTCTTCCAAGCCCCACAAACTTAGCAGGTTTGGAAACTCTCATATCCAAAGAAGAAGTACTTCCACCAGGGAATTCACAGCCTATTGAGCTGGAAACTGGAACAAGAAAAGAAAGGCACCACTATATAGCCTTAAGTAATTGATTACAATACCAATGGGAAATTAGTTGCTGCTATACAATCAAATCAAGGAGGACTATATCTAGAACCTAGAAGTTCATTAACAAGTCCATGTGAGTACACACATATCCAATAGTCCTGATCAGTGGAAAACTGAAGGAACTCAGTAACAAGAGATGCACCAAGAACCTAAATCTTGTAGGATCAAAGGTTTGGGCTGAGCGCAGTGGCTCACGCCTGTAATCCCAGCACTTTGGGAGGCTGAGGCGGGCAGATCACTTCAGGTCAGGAGTTTGAGACCAGCCTGGCCAAAATGGTGAAACCCCAGCTCTACTAAAAATACAAAAATTAGCTGGGCATGGTGGTATGTGCCTGTAATCCCAGCTACTCGGGAGGCTGAGGCATGAGAATTGCTGGAACTTGGGAAGTGAAGGTTGCAGTGAGCTGAGATTGCATCACTGCACTCCAGCCTCGGCGACAGACTGAGACTGTGTCTCAAAAAATAAAGTAAAAAAATAAAATAAAATAAAAAAGTTTGTAAAGAGCCTTTACAAAGAGCCTTGTAGGAGGCCTCTGTAAAGAGCCTTATACAGTGAAGTGCTGGCAGAAAGGGGAATGTGCAATGGGTAGTGGAAGAAGAAAGCTATGATTCTCAACTTAAATTTCATGACCAACCATAGAAGTAGGGATTCTAACAGTTATGTTTCGTATTGTTTGTCCTCCATCCCCACTCTTCCCATTAGGAAGGGTAATAGTAACGATTAATATTTTATGTCTCAGGTATATGTTCAAATTCAATTACTCTATTATGACACCATAGTTACTGGAACTTTTTTTATGTGTCCCAAAAGGTTTGTTCAATTTTTATATGAACAAAGTACAAGAGAAGATGTTCAGAGTAAGAAGACTTTACTGGATATCTTCTGTTTATGCCTCCTGGTCATCCAGTCAGCTCTGTGTCCTGGGAATTTGAGCTACATGGATTGCATCAAGGGCTCTCTTGCCCTCTGATTTCTGGTTGGGTTCAGCCAATGGGAGACACTAGCAGGAGATAAGATGGCAGAAGAAAGTAGAGTTATGCTATTTATTCTCCTGGCTCTTTCCCTGATGGGTCACCATAGGTTCACTGCCTCATTCCATTAGTGACAGGTCCCATAGGATGTCTCCCTTTTTACAATTATTCTTTTGTTGTTTTAATCACTGTTTCCTTACTTTGCTCATCAGGCCTAGGATAAGTAATAGTTCCTTGGTATCAAGCCCTAGGGTATGCACTGCACTATGCCTTATTGGTTTTCTTTAATTTCACCCACACCTTTGAAAATAGATTTTTTTCATTATCCTGTTGTAGTGTGTTATTTCTGGCCAAAGCCTAACCAATGAAATACCCTACTTGCATAGAGGTTAAGATGTTTACTATAATAATTGTAATAGTACCCACTACTAGTGTCTAACCTCTTATTTTATTATTCTTCTTTTTTTTCTATTTTTGCTTTGCTTTGAGAAGAAATATAGCATGTTGATTAAGAGAATGGACTCTGAAGCCGGATTTCATCAGTTTGGATTTTGGCTTTTCCTCTTTCTAGCAGTTTGGGTAAGTTACTTAGCTTACCTGTCTCATGGGGTTGTTGGAGTGATTAAGAGTTAGTAAAAAGCACTCAGGACAGTAACAGCCATAGAAAGTACTAGGGAAGTGTTTGATCTTACTATTTAAAATATTTATCAATACCTGATATAGTATGCATTTATTTGCTTATTATCTATTGTCCACCCAAATGTAAGCTCCCTAAAGGCAGAGACTTGGTTTTGTTCATAGCTGAATCCTTACTCTCTAGAAAAGCACTATCTCATAGAACTTTCTGTGATGATGGGATGTTCTATAGCTGTACTATCTAATACAGTAGCACTAACCACATGTAGGTACTGAGCATTTCAAATGTGGCTAGTGCTACTGAGGGACTGATTATTACATTTTATTTAATTTTAATTAATTAAAATGTAAGTAGTTACATGTGACTAGTGACCATGAGATTGGACAGCACAGACATTGCCTGGAACATCATAATAGGTACTCAATGAATTTTTGTTAAACAAGTGAATAACTACCAACCATTTATAGAAAGCTAGATATTTTGACAGGTAGAATGCTAAGCACTTTATATACATTATCTCATGTAAACCTCTCAACAAACCTATGAGGGAAATATCACTGTCCCCAATATATAGATGAGAACATTGAGGCACAGAGGAGTTAATTTGTCATAGCCAGTAAATAGATTAGACCCCAGCACTGAGCCAATGACAGTGAACTGAATTCAACTTGTGTTGGTTACAATCCTCCAATTTCGGAATATCAGACTCCCATTTTTTCTCCCAGGAAATGAAACTACCTTCCCAAGCTCCCTTTCTGTGCTATATCCAGCTCTCATACTTTCCAGCCTCAGATATAGGTTTTCCAGCATTCCTAATGACAAATTCCTTGAGTGAAGGATCCACACCTCATTCTTACTTCATTGTCATCTATAGTGATGGCAGTATGTCAGAACCATTCTTCAGTAAATGCTGGCTGAAAGAGTAGATGATGAATGGGGGCTCAGGTGGGTGTTTGTAAGGTTCTAAAGGAAGTTAATATCTAGTATCAATTTTACTTACACAAGAAGAAATCATATGAGCATTTACTGGCTTTAATGCTTTATCTTGTGACCACTGAACAGACCTTTTAGAGCAGGTGTTGGCAAATCAGGCAGTAAATATTTTAGGTTTTGTGGGTCATAAGGTCTCTGTCACAACTATCCAACTCTGCTGTTCTTTCATGGTAGCAGCCATAGACAATATGTAAATGATGACTATGTTGCAGTAAAACTTTGTTTACGATCATCAAATTTTGAATTCATATAATTTTCGTAGCCCTGAAATATTCTTCCATTTTTAACCATGAAATATTGCAAAAAACATTCTTAGCTTGTGGGCTGTACAAGAACAGGCAGCAAACTGTAGTTGCTAACCTGTGGCCTAGACAGGCAAACCTAGGATTAGAAGCACTGAGTAAGGCCGTACAATTGTGTGCTGAAAACCCATTCAGAAGGGAAAGTCCAAGGTGGAATGTAGGAGGCTGTTACTTTTCTTTTGACCCCCACATTTTTCCTCCCTCGGATCATTCCGTATCTTTTTCCTATTTGCTTTGCCGGGATTGTTCTCAATCAATGTGCATACTTTCTCATACCTCAGGCGTTATGTCTCTCGTGGCCGTTTGTGTTTAAATTGAGGGTTTGGGGAAGACTGAAAAACATTCAAGACCCAAAGTAACAGCTTTCTCATGAAGCGTTTACACGCATTGAGAGATATCGTTCCATTGGTGTGAATAAGTCTCTATGTACACACCTGATGAAATATAATGCTGGCTTCTAGTCCCCTCACAAAAGAAACAGGCTTCCTGTTTGCGTGACTTGGGGGCGACTCCTGCTTTTCCCTGGCTGCCCATCAGTTGGCGCCTTTTGCCGTCCTTTTTCCCCAAGCCGCTTTGGGGGCCGCGGTCTCTCCGCAGCTCGCGGGTCACATGGCCCGCCTGAGCAAGGGGAGCCCTGCGCCTGAGCTGCGAGGCGGGAGGAGGTGAGGCTCCGGCGCACACCCAAACCGCGCTGCGCCCGCTCCTTCCGGGCCCCGGAGATGGCGCCTCCACCGGGATGAGCTAGCCAGCCTGGGCAATACCAGAGGCGGCCCTCGGCGCGCGCAGGGGACCGAGCTGGTCGCCCCAACCGGGTAGGTTTCTGTTGCGCACGATCTGCCCAGCCCTTCTGGCGCGGTGGTCGGAGCCCTGGACACTAGAGCGAGGGGACAAGGATTAGGGGTGGCCACAGCTGGCACAAGCAGGGCAGCTGGGGGTTGGGGAGAGTCATCGCAGAGGGCCTGTGCCCCGGGCAGTGCGCCTCGGGCAGGCGGGTTGCCTAGCGGCCCTGCCCGCAGCTCCGACCGCTTCCTGCCGGAGGATTGCGAGGACCCCGCAGGGGTCCCCAGGGCAGCAGGGGCCCGCATCAGTGCGGGGATGGTTGAGTGTCTCGGGGGCGCCTCCCTGGCCCTTGCCTGCGCCAGCTGCGCTGACAGGTCAATAGAAGGACGCGAGCGGGGCGCGTGCCAGTCTGGGTAAGACCCTCGCCGAGCCTAGCAGGGCCGAAGCGCCAAGGGGCCTGGCGCCTAATGGCCGCCCGCAAGCAGGGGACCCTCGCGGCGCGTCCACACCTTAGGTTCGCCGGGCGCGCCGAGAGCGCGGCAGCAGTGTTGGGTTTCTGCGGGCGACCTCGCAGCCAAGGGCTGGGGGAGGGCGACTGGGCAGAGGAAGGCGTCCCTCCCAGGACCAGGAAAAACCAGCAGAAGGGAAGGAGCGCAGCGATGGAGACGGTCAGCTCGGCCTACGGGTGGGAAACTGAGGCTCAAGCGTGGCAGGGACTGCCCAAGGTCAGCGACAGACACTAGATCCAGGGCCCTGGACATCGTCCCCCATTCTTTTTCCAAGAGGGAGGGTTAATTAGATCCACCTGGGTGTGTCTCGCCCTCTTTCTGGCCCTTGGCTCCGGCGTCGCTAGTGTCGCACTGCGCTCGCGGTGTCTTGGGGCGTGAGCTCCTGCAGGGTCGTTGTGACCCGCATCCTCTGCTCGGCCCAGGCTCTCTCCGGGGGACCGCAGGGCGGCTCCAATGATGATCTCACCATGCGGACCATTAGCAACACATGCGGGTGTGTGTGCGCGTGCATGTGTGTGTTTCTCCTTCTATAGGGGAAATAGCTTTTTTTTTTAGGGGTGAATTTCTAGAATGCACTGCACTAGGTACTTTATGAGGTGAGAAGAGAAAATCAACATTATTAGAATTATTAGAATGTTGTAAGGATACACATATTAGAAAACATCCAGTAAACAAAAATCCAAAGGAGAAGCAAAATAAAAATAACTTAAAACTTCAACTTCTAGATGGTTTAGATTTTCTGCATATCTTAAAATTTTCTCTATGTATACACATTTGAAGTTTTAAATCAAAAGCGTGGACCAAAAAATGGTATCTTGTCTTAATTTGCATGTCTTTGATTACCCATGGGAATTAACACTTTTTCCTCTGTGTAGTAGCCTTTTGCATTTCTGTAGGTGAGTTGATTGTTAATTCTTCTGCCCATTTTTCAGTTGGAGTATCTTTCTCCTCCTGACTTTTAAACACTTTATGTGTATTACACATTGAAGTAGTAATTCTTTGTCACGTGTTGCACTATAGCGAGTATTTTCTGTTAATTTTTACTAGTTCTAATTCCAAATGATCTTTTGGATACTTTGGTCAATTTTTTATTTTGATGGTTATATGGGCGTATAAATTTGACAAAACTCATCGAAATATATATATATTTAAGTGGTGCATTGTACTGTATGTAAACTGCACCTCAATAAAATTAATTTTTAAAGGCCTAGAAAATTATCATCCTGGGTAATGAGAGAGAATTTGCCTAGTCAGATATTAAAACCTGTTATAAAGCTTTCATAATGAAAATAACATGGCCCTGGCACCACAATGCAGAGAGAGATAGATGCCAAAATCCACAAACAGATATATATATACATCATTTAATTTATTATAGCTATAGCAACTTAAATCACAAATTTAAAAATGGACTTAACAGGTGCCCTGACTGTCATGTTCACCTTCCCAGTGTCTAACACAAGACTCAGTGTTGAATCAAATGCTTAATTATGATTATAAAAGTAATGATCTTTGCAGAAGTGTAGATATCAAAACAGGAAATTGCCATCCCCATACCCTTCTTTTCTCCTTCACTAAATTATACTCCACATTAAAAATAAAATGGTCATATCTCTGTACATTTTTCTGTAATTTGCACTGATATAGTTTGCATTTCTCCCTTCTGGTCTTAGTCTACTTGAGCTGCTGTAACACATTCTCAAAGACTAGGTGGCTTAAACAACAGACACATTTATCTCTCAAAATTCTGAAAGCTGGAAGTTCCAGATCAGGGTGCCAGCATGGTCAAGTTTTGGTGAGGGCTCTCTTTCCGGTTTACATGTGAGAAAGCAGAGAAGAGAAGTGATCTCTCCTGTCTTTTCTTATAAGGACACTAATAAAGAACATGCATTACTGAGGTCTGCACCCTTATGACCTGATTACCTTCCAAAGACCCCATCTCCAAATACCATCATATTGGAGATTAGGATTTATAACACGAATTTTGGCTGGGCAGGAGGAGGACAAACATTCAGTCCAAAGCACAAACCTAGCTAAGATTTCTTTTATGTCAACATATTTAAACCTTTCTCTTCTTAACATTTCCACAGCATACCCTTTTATGATTCTCTAAAAATCTGTTCCCTTTGCTAGGCATTTCATTTGCCTGCAGTTCTTCCTTTCTTCCTTCCACCCTCCCACCCTCTTCCTCACTCTCTCCTTCTCTCTTTCTGTCTTCTTTCCTTTTTCTTCCTTCCTTCCTTTCTTCCCTTTCTCCCTTTGTTCCTCTGCCCCTCTTTCTCTTTTTCTTCCTACTGCATACAAAACAGCACTCAACATTTCTTATCCATCTTTGGTAGCATGTGTTGGCATTTCTGCAGAGTAGATTCCTAGAAGTAGGATCGTTATGTCAAAGGGGATGCACTTATAAAATTTTTATAGATACTGCCCCAACACCCCAACATTTCCTCCAAAGATTGCACCAATTTATATTAAAGTGCCTAGTTGTTGAACTGTGACACTCCCTCGAAGTAAATTAAATTCAGATGTTAAATATAGAGATTAATTATGGAGAAAGGGAGCTCTATTACCAAGTCTTTCCACCTAAGCATTATTTTTCTGTTTATTAATGACTTTTTAATTACCCTTTGGTAGAATTTTGTAGTATGTGTGTATATTCTGCATATTTCTGAAATTTATTTCTAGATATTTGAGTTGCTTATTTTTTTCCCTTTTGACTGGGATCTTTTACTCCCTTAGTTCATTGGTGATCATGTACATGAAAGCAGTCATTATAATATAGATAATATAGATACAGATATGGATATGTAATGCATATATATAGTACATGTGTATATATACTTGCTATGTATATTATATATTATTTTTACATATTAATTCTGGTACCAACCATGTTTTGAGTCTATTGCCATTTCTAATGGTTTTTCAGTTGATTTTCCTGGGCTCCAAATTTATGTAGGCAGTAGTGCATATTGGTTGAGAATGTGGGTTCTGGACACAGTCTGCCTGGGTTCAAGTTTTGCCACCCTGCTTAAAAACTTAGTTTTCTAAAGTATAAAATGGGCTTAATAGTCATACTTCTTGGAGGCTTTTTATGAGGATCGATAGATGAGATGCTTAGAACAGTGCCTGGCACATAAGTGTTCTGGAAACATTTACAAATAAGTCGATCTCTACACAGTATATGACCAGCTCTTTGATACTACCAATTTTATAGCTGAGGACCTGAGACCCATAGAGGTCAAAAGAAGCCAATTATTTGCTTAACAAGCATTGAGCATCTTCTATGCATAGTTCTGTGCTGGGTCTGTGAGGGATACCAAAGATAAATCAGACTGAATCTACTAAAAAAGGATTCAAGAGTCCAATCAGATCGTAAGTCAAGGACCATAAACAAGGCCATGGAAGACAACAGGCATCATAGAAAAACATGAGCTTTGAAATTTATCCTTGTCCTTGAATTTCCTCTTGCAACTTGGTAGCATCAGTTTTGTCAACTAAATGGGATTAATTCCATTGCTATTTTGAGAGTTGCTATTTTGTTCAGAAGAAATAGATGCAAGGGTCTAGCACAACATTGGGATATGTAGTATGGCCTTAATAAGCGGTAGCTATAAATAGATGAGTCTGAAGTAGAAAGTGACAAATGAATGCCCTGGAGGAAAAGTTCATAGAAAGGGCCCCAGTACTTGAGGGGAAAAAAAGAGATTCTTTCTGGTTGGAAAGGTCAGGGTTGGGTTTTGGAAGAGGTACCTTTTGAGCTAATTCTTGATGGTTGAGTTAGACAGTGTGAGGAGCAAAAATGCAGCTGGGAAGATAGTTGGAACTGGATTGTGAAGAATCTTGGCAAATAATTTGGACTTTATTCTACAGTCATGGGGGAATCATTGAATAGTTTTACAGAAAAGAGTGCCATGTTCTGACTTATGCTTCAGAGTATCAGATGGATGCTGATCAAGTAAAACATCACCATCATTTGCACAGTGTCCTATGCCTGACAAAGGGCTATCATAGCTGTTGTCTCTTCATCGTCACAGTCTCACTGTGTTGCCAGGCTGGAGTGCAGTGGCATAATCTGGCTCACTGCAACCTCCGACTACCTGGTTCAAGCGATTCTCCTGCCTCAGCCTCCTGAGTAGCTGGGATTACAGGCACGTGCCACCACACCCAGCTAATTATTGTATTTTTAGTAGAGATGGCGTTTCACCATGTTTGCCAGGATGGTCTCGATCTCCTGACCTCGTGATCCGCCTGCCTCGGCGTCCCAAAGTGGTGGGATTACCGGTGTGAGCCACCGCGCCTGGTTGAAGTATCTTTTATTTTCCTGTTTCACAGAGAAATAAAATAGGCTCAGAGAGATAAATGATTTTTTTATACAAATTGATCAAATTAGTGAGTGTTGGGACGAGAATTGGACCTAGATCTTTTGGCTTGTGTTGCTCATTCTGGAGGTCAGAAGCTCTGTTAGGAGCCTGTTGCAATCAGCTGGCTTGGAGGTGCTGAGGAGGAACTAGAGTGTGGCAGGGAGGAAAGCTTGACAAGGGGAAGGCGAGGGGAAAAGAGAGGCATAATAAAAGAGGCCGTAGAGGTGGGATTAGGAAGTGACTGCGTGGAGGTGAGAAGTTAGAACTAACTAGTGTTTTAGACTGAGTTGCCTGGGAAAGTGGTCGTGCCATTCATATAGTGGATTTGGGAAACACAGAACATTCTTGAGCACTCATCCCCTGACTCACACCCTGGTATTGTGTCTTCCACACCCGTGGATCCTTTAGTTTAATTTTCAGAAGTTGCACTAAAATATAACTATTGTTGTAGCTCCATTTATTCATCTAAGCCCTAGTTCATGTTCATTTCTCAGAGTCTGTGTCCTTTACTGTCTTCCCTGAGCCCTACACTCTAGATATGGTAACAGGTAGAGAATTCTGTTTAGGGAAGGGTTGTGTTTCAAAGAGCACATGCAAAGCATAGATAAGAACTGGATATGTATTGTTCTGTAGAATCGGAGCTGTAATGGTGTAACTGTTATTAGGTCAGCTCATAGGTGCCAGTCAGTCCACAGTGTCTCTGGAGTGTGGGCCTCAGCCTGTGACATCATGGGCAACTGGAATTCTGGAAAAAGACAATCAGAGTGGTAACATAGACATAGCCCTCTTGTCTCACCCTTATGATTGGGCTGGGAGTAAAAAAACTCCTTCCCCAAACTAGCAGTGAAAAATCCTATGTTTTTATATCTGTTCCCCTAAGGCCATTTATCTTTTATCTTTTTTTGTTTGTGTGTTTGTTTGTTTTTGTTTGAGACAGGGTTTTTCTCTGTCAACCAGGCTGGAGTGCGGTGGTGCGATCACAGCTCACTGCGGCCTCGACCTGCTGGGGCTCAGGCAATCCTCCTGCCTCAGCCTACTGAGTAGCTAGGACTACAGGAACATGCTACCATGCCTGGCTAATTTTTGTATCTTTTGTTGAGACTAGGTTTTGCCATGTTGCCCAGGCTGGTCTCAATCTCCTGGGCTCAAGCCATCCACCTGCCTCAGCCTCCTAAAGTGCTGGGATTACAGGCTTCAGGCACCACATCCAGCTGGCCATTCTTCTTAAAACCAGATCAGTAAGGTGAAATAAATTATAGGTGCCATTGGACACCACAGGCTACTGTGCAACAATTGGTTAAATCTTTTAAAAAAATGTTTTAAAAAGTAAACAAGAACATACTCCTGAATGACTACATAACTCCATGTGGTTGGATTTTCAGCAAAGCAGTCATCTAATCTTGAATGAAGGATCTGATCCCAGCTCCTGTGTCCTAGGTGGGTGTGGTAGATTGCATTAATGTTCAAAATGCCCCTCCCTGGAGTACATTTTCTGCCCCTCCCTGGAATACAAATATTTCTCCAGTCATTGGTCTCAGGTGTGGCCATGTATCTTTTGGCACTCCCTTCTGCTCTGTTGAATTTGAGTTATTATGTGATTTGTTCCAGTCAGTGAAATGTGGGTGGAAGTGATCTGTGTCACTTTTGAGCAGTGGCTTTGAGAGCCAGCTTGTGGTGCACTATTCCCCTTTTTTCTCTCTACCACAAAACCAGCAATGTTAAAAACAAACAAACAAACAAACAACAACAACAACAAAAAACAGTTCTATCTGCCTGGGTCCTAGAGTACAAACAACAGGCAACAGAGGCACAATTGACCTGTAAAGGACAAGTACTATGAACAAGAATTAAACCTTAGTTCTTATAAGCCACTGAGATTTTGGGGATCATTACTGAAGCCTGTCCTTATTCGTGTAGTGTGTAATGATTGGGGTTGGGGGCCGGGTCTTAAGCCCTGTAAGCATTCTAAAAAAAATTTCCATACTCCGTGAGCAGATTGCTAGATGCTTTCTTTTCTCCTGAGGATTTAGAAATTGGCCTGTTGCCTTTTTTTTTTCTATTGAATCTTCATTTTCCCCTCCTTCTGCTCTGTGGGAGGAGTAAATCTTCCTGTCCCATTGTTTTGGCCAATGAATGATGAGTGGACTTGATTTGTGGCACACTGAAACAAGGATGTAAATGTACCTGCATGTTTTGACTTGGCCTCTTGTGCAGCTTCCAGGCAACGTAAGAACACGCCCCAGGTGGCTGTTTCCTCTGCAGCTTGATCTAGAAGGAGGGGCATGTGGCATGAGCTAATTCTGACCTACATTCTGGAGCTGACCCCAACTGAGCCACAGCTATCCACAAACCCGTATGCAAGAAATACATGTTATCACTTTAAGTTATAAAGATTTGAGGCTGTTAATCACCCCAGCAAAGCTGATCAATATAGGTAGGGACCATGTGTCCTCTGAACCAAATCCCTCTCTTTTCCTGATTGTCAGTAGAACAGCAGTCTCACAGACGTAGTTTTAAAGTAAAGGACTATGTGAGATGTTAATGATTTTATTGTCCCCAGTAGGATAAATTCCCTGGGACCAAAGGTTCTCCTGATGTCAGTTCTAGGTGTTTCCATTTCTTTCCCCCCTGACATATCATAGTAAGTGATAGCCTTTACTATGTGCCTGGCATTTTCCAAACTGCCTGCCCTATCTCATTGTCTCTAGTTCCCTCCTCTAGATTGATCCAGCTCCCTTGTGGTAATAACAAAGGCAGGGATAATAGTATGAGCAGAAATCCACTCGAATGCCTCCTTTTCCAAGGCCAATACTGCAGGAGTGGGAGTTCAGCCCAATTCTAGTATTGGCTTCCATCAGCAGTGATGTGGAAGTGGTGAGGCCACGTTCAATCACGTTCAACCACATGGTTTGTTAACTCCATTGCGCTGAGCAGAGCAGAGGAAGAAGCAACCAGTCTGCAATATGCTGGATGTTCACAAACCAGCAAGACTGGGGTTGCATAATTCAAACCTCTCCTTGCTTTGTTCCCTCTTTGGGTACTATCCAGATCTCTTAGTACTAGGATAGTCTGTCTCACCTTTGGAGTCCCATAGTACAATCTGCTTCTGTGGCTGAAATGAAACTTGTTTCTCTACTTGAGAAATTAACCATGTCACTGTACATTTGGTATTCTACACAACTGTAGAGGGCAGAGTAGGCTAACTGCTGTAATAAAGTCCAAAAATTATTGGTGTCTAGACACAGTGGTTTATGTATTGCTCACAACACAGTCCACTCTAGTTTGGGAGGGTACTGGGAGGTGGGCAGCGGAAGGGACATCTGTTCCATGCCGTCCCAACACTGGGATATGTATGTAAAGGATTCAAGGACCCAGGCTTCTGCCATCTGGTGGCTGTACCTCCTCTAGATCCACCAGGGCTCTCCATTCAGCTGGCAGATGGGGAAAGAGAAAGTCGAGATGGCACATCTGTTCTCAACTACCTTGTCCCAGGTGTGACACCTGTCACTTTGCTGACAAGCCCTAGTCACATGACTCCACCTGGAGAAGGCAAACTAGGAAATGAGGTCTTTCTGTGTGCCCAAGGGGAGACCATGGATATGAGAGCACTGGCTGAGTCTGCTCCACAGCAGCCTCGTATGGTTCCTGGGCAATCCTCCCTTTGCAATAACTCACAAACTATACAGTTTTCCTCCAAATGTGTGTAAACCTTATGATGCGTCTGAGGCAACAGATTTACTTTCTGTACTGCAGACACCATTTAGTTTTGCATTGACCTTACTAGCAATTATTATTTTATACTGGCTTTGCCCTTTTCATTCTGTTTTTTGGCACTAGTCTGTTTTCCATCAGAATATTAGACCTGCTTACTTCTAAAATATTTTTGTGAGTTTGAACACATGGATAGATTTTAATGGCATTTTTACTCTGCATTATTTTGCTTTCTAACACATTTAATATTCACAGTAACCCTATGAGACAGATATTATTATTTCCATTTTAGAGCTAAGAAATATAAGATATGGAGAGGTAAACTTCCCACCAAATGAGAGGCAGAGCTAGGATTCACACCAATATGAGCCTGGCCTCAGGCCCATGCTCTGAATCATCATATCACACAGCATTTTTTCCTGGACCAAACTGAGGGCAACTGTCTCTTCCATATTCACCTCTGCCTTTCCCCCCCCGCTCCCTCATTGAAAAGCTACTCATGGATCTTCCTCCAGATGTTTCCTCCCTCCCCAAGCCTGGGGCTCTAGAGTTTGCTTGCTTATGGGAAATACTTCCTCTCATTGGTTCCCATGATCTATAAAAATAAAATGGGAGAACAATCAGGATTAAATTAATATGCAATGTTAAGTATAGTTGTGTGAGATTAGAAGCATATGAATGGAAAATGACATTAAATAACAAAGATACTTCAGAGAATCCTAAGTATTCCTTCTCTTGTTGGACAAGTTTTTTTTGGAAATTGCTATATGCACAGTTAATCAACAAGTATTTTCTGGGCCCTTATTCTGGAACTTGCTCTAAATGTGTATATTTCCTTTGTGCCAAGCCTTGCTTTTTTGCCCCCGTTTTAAGAACCCATTGTCTGTGTAGCTGGTGAATAGAAATAATGATCCCAACAGCCTACCTGGAGATTTTCTGGCATTGTAAACCTAACTAAGTATCTTTAGGCGTGATGATTTGGTTGAATGCACCGAGATCGTATTACTCATAGAAATAATAAAAACATCCAGAGGTTGTTAGCAGACACAACCAAAGAATGGTTTACTGTAGAAAATACTTTAGAGTCTGTAGAAGCTACAGAGCCTCCTATTATAATTTCTGGTTTGATATGTGCTGAGCTCAGTTCTTGTCCTTTTGTTTTTTTGTTTGTTTGTTTGTTTGTTTTTTTAAGTTACTCTTACCATTCCCTACTTCCTCTCTCTTTAGGTTTGATTTCTGATGACTCTGGCCTGAGTTCCAGGATGGTTTTTTCTTGGGACCAGACATGAACAAAAGTTGACCTCATGAGCACTTCAACCTCTCCAGCTGCCATGCTCCTCCGGAGGCTGCGGCGACTCTCCTGGGGCAGCACTGCTGTCCAGCTCTTCATCCTAACAGTGGTGACGTTTGGCCTGCTGGCCCCCCTGGCCTGTCACCGACTTCTACACTCTTACTTCTATCTGCGCCATTGGCATCTGAACCAAATGAGCCAAGAGTTCCTGCAGCAAAGCTTGAAAGAGGGTGAGGCTGCCCTCCACTATTTTGAGGAGCTTCCCTCTGCCAATGGCTCAGTGCCCATTGTCTGGCAGGCCACCCCCCGGCCCTGGCTGGTGATCACCATCATCACTGTGGACAGGCAGCCTGGCTTCCACTACGTCCTGCAGGTTGTGTCCCAGTTCCACCGGCTTCTTCAGCAATGTGGCCCCCAGTGCGAGGGGCACCAACTCTTCCTGTGCAACGTGGAGCGTAGTGTGAGCCATTTTGATGCCAAGTTGCTCTCCAAGTATGTCCCTGTGGCCAATCGCTATGAGGGCACTGAGGATGATTATGGTGATGACCCTTCGACCAACTCGTTTGAGAAAGAGAAGCAGGACTATGTCTATTGCCTGGAGTCATCCCTGCAGACCTACAACCCAGACTACGTCCTGATGGTAGAAGACGATGCTGTACCAGAAGAGCAGATCTTCCCAGTCTTGGAGCACCTTCTGCGGGCTCGCTTCTCTGAGCCACATCTCAGAGATGCCCTTTATCTCAAGCTGTATCACCCCGAGAGGCTCCAGCACTACATCAATCCAGAGCCCATGCGGATCCTGGAATGGGTTGGTGTAGGCATGTTGCTGGGGCCCTTACTAACCTGGATATACATGAGGTTTGCCAGCCGCCCAGGGTTTAGCTGGCCTGTAATGCTCTTCTTCTCCCTGTATAGCATGGGTCTGGTGGAGCTGGTGGGTCGGCACTATTTCCTGGAACTGCGGCGGCTGAGTCCTTCCCTGTACAGTGTGGTTCCTGCCTCTCAGTGTTGCACCCCAGCCATGCTCTTCCCGGCACCTGCGGCCCGCCGGACCCTCACCTACCTGTCCCAAGTGTACTGCCACAAGGGCTTTGGCAAGGACATGGCACTGTACTCGCTGTTGAGGGCCAAGGGAGAGAGGGCCTATGTAGTGGAGCCGAACCTCGTGAAACACATCGGGCTCTTCTCCAGTCTCCGGTACAACTTTCATCCCAGTCTCCTCTAGGGTGCCAAGAGATGCCTTTCTGAAGTTGGCCACTTCTTGAAGATTCAAATATTTATCTCTTTATTTAGACATGGTTGCCTGCAGGTATTTCACTGTTTACTGTTGTTAGAGATATAGGCACTGGGGCAGCTGAGGAACCTCAATATGTTAAGAGCCTTGGCTTTGGTAGCCTCCTGGCAGGAGCAGCAGTTTGCCACAGGTCCGGACCTCTCCCTCCACACAGCCACACTGCCTCATGCAGTCTGACCCACCCAGTGAGGGTGCATTTGAACACTGATTATATTCTCCATTTGTTTTTAAGCTCTGCTTTGTGTTAGAGCTTGTGACTGCCAAAAATTTTGTGCACAGTGATATGACTGTTTTAGGATCTTAAGGGTAGAATTTTGTGAAAGGTGAGATCCTTTGGAATTGAGTTCTTTCTCATTGGGTATGAAAATGGATGTATGTTTAGAATATATGCCCAACGAGGCAGGACCATGTGGATAGATTCCATTTGTTTCCTTGACCTGATGTAATAAAAACTGATAAAAGCCGTGCAGTGCCCGGCATCTTGGAGGCAGGTGATCTGGCTTTTCTGTTACCTGGGATTTTCTTTTCCTATATATCTGTAGTGCACTGATAATTGATATTGTTAGTGAGAACTTTAAGGCACGACAAGATCTGGAAGAGCTTGTGAACCATCAAAGTCAGATTGCTTATGTTGAGTAGTGATTTAACATTGAACATTTCTGTACTACTCTGACTCTTTGAAAATTGGACATTTCAGAATGATACAATATAGGGGAGCTCTTTACAAGTAGCATATCATTTTTCCTGACTTTCCTGGCTGACTGCTTACCTTCATTTCTTTTTCTTCTAGGTAGCATGATGTTATAGAAAAAAAAAAAAAAAAATCATGGACTGAAGTCAGAAGACCTGACCTTTTATTTCAGATCTCTGCCATGGCCTAACGACGTGACCACCTTGGGCAGGTCATATAATCACTCTGGGTCTCAATTTCTTCACCTGTAAAATGAGGACAGTAATACTTACATGTTAAAGTTGCCTTGAGGATTAAATGGCAGAATATATGTAAAACACCTAGCAAGTGCTTAGTCCATAGAAGACGCTTGGCAAACTTTTCTCTCCTATAATAAACATATACAACTCAAGCTTATTTCGGAAAAAGATATTGGTGATGTTGTTTAAAGTATGAGATAGGGCATGGAGCTGCCACCTATGTACCAGCTATTCCAGATGACCAAGCCCTGCTAGAATAAAGACTGACTTTTCATTGTGACCTCTGAAGGATGTGCAGCTCAGCTTTCACCTATCCCCACGTTCACCCAAGCCAAAAAGAAGAATTGTTCATTCAAACTGGAAATGATCTCCAGCTTGGAAATGAGACTCCTCATGAGCTTATTCTAAGATCAGAGTCTGAAAATTATTTTCTCAAAAGTTACAAATAAATGTCTTTTAACAGTACTGTCAGACTAGTGACCAACAAGTTACTTTATGAGGATGGATGATGATATTAGAGTTCAAGCAATTGTCCAGTTTGTTTCGATGCCACAGTTTGCTTTTAAATTCCCATAGTGAGCTTCCATCTTGAGACCCACTCAACACAGAAGGATTACATAAAGGTTGATCACCCACGCTCTACAGATGAACAAATTGAGACCCAGAGATGCTAAACTGCTCTGCAGGTCACAAACCTGAACAGCAGCATAGCCAAAATGGGAACGGAGCTCTTCTGACTTCAAGCCCCTGCACTTTTTTCTTAACCACATTAATTTTATGAATATCTATGTGGTCAAAGTCTCTTTTGTAAAATCTGAGTATAAGCTGAACTAGATCATGTCTCTGTAAGCTAAGATGGCAGAAACACATTGTCATGTTAGTTTGGAGGAGCAAACAGATATAAGTATGTGTTGTAATGTTATAGTGAGCTGTTATGTATCCCCCAGCAATGTCCAAAGTGATCAGAGCTACTAGATGACTTATTACAATGTTCAGATCCCACTCCTTCATTCCTCCTCTCTCAGTGACCTGTCTACCCCCAAGCTTTAGAACTGAGCTCTCTCCAACTTAGAACTCATTAGAGTTTGTTGCATTAGTGATTGGATCTCCTCATGAAAGTTTTTTGACCAATGACAGTAGAGCCCCTTTAAGCTAGCCAGGCCCAAGATAGGGAAGCACTGCTGGTTTACATTTCTGCTCTTTCTAATTCAGTTGTCTATTGCATGCAGACATCCCCTGCCCGACTTCTCCATTATGGAAGGCTAAGGCCATCCTTCCTTGTCCAGTTTCTCTACCTACACACTAACATGCCTTTTCCCCATGGAGTGAACTCTGCCAGTTGTCTTTGGACATTTTCTGCAGATGCAGGCTCAGTTCTGCTCTTTTGTTCCCACCCACTTCTAGATCTTCCTCCATTTAATCCCTTATTCTTATAAGGAGTCTAATTTTTGTGTATTGTCCTTGATTAGGGCAGCTGACAGCTTTACACCAAAGCTGAAGTCTCTCACTTAATCCTAAGCAAGGGGCTAGGGAGAACTAAGATATCCTTCCCATATCAAGGGATATAGGTTACTAGAAGGGTGGAGGTCTCTTAACAGGCTCACTCACCTTTCAGAGTTTAAATTATGGTCAGGCTTAAGAAGCTCTCTCTTGTGACTGAGTGTATTGCATAGACATGTCTGTGAAAATAAAAGCACCCATTTTGCTAAGGCTTTCTGAGAAGACTTTTATCATTCTCTGTCTTTCCTTTTCATGAATGGATTTTTCTGATGTGGCAAATAGTATGGGCTCCCTGCGCCCACACACAGTTTTGTAGTCCCAAGGGAGCCATTCAGAAGTATTGGCTGCTGCCTGCACAAGCAACCATGGCCACAGATCCCTGGGTCACAGCAATGTCAGAGCATTTATCCATCTTTTTCTGGGTAAAAAAAGTGGGGGTCACTGCTACCACCCAGATCATCTTACCTCTCACTGGTATACCCCTGGTACAATGTGGTGATCATTCCTTCACTCTTTCCTGCCTCTTGCCCTAAAAGTCTTAGAATAAGTTGCAGAGCTGCCATGGGTGGTATTCCTGTCTAGTGCTCCATTGGCCACCCCAAGAACATGCAGCAACACCTGTAGGCTGAAAGAGAAAACCCAGCCTTCCCCTGAGAGAAACACGCAGAGATCCCTCACACCCATCCTCCCCCCACTCCCAACACACACACTGAAAACAAAACCACTAACAACAACAAAGTAAAAAACAGCTGTGTGTAGTGATGGAAAGACTTCCTCTTAGCACTTGCCATTCCCTCTGCTTGGAATGCATGTAAAAAACTTTTTTATAGGGGCTAAAATTGTACACTATAACCAATTCTCAGTCCCTAGACCCCATTCTTTGTTCCTCTTCTTCCTGATTTTCTTCCCTAGTCCATTTCTTTTTGTCCAGTATTCCTTTTGTTCATAGGCAGTTCCACTGTGAGTCCTGTACTCTTTCTCATTCATTCATGGCTCACTGTGTGTCATGT
Organism: Homo sapiens; assembly: GCF_000001405.40. NCBI lineage: Eukaryota > Metazoa > Chordata > Mammalia > Primates > Hominidae > Homo > Homo sapiens. Next base: position 101,472,371 of record NC_000009.12, on the reverse strand, counting down.
TCTATTCTAGGTGTTGGGGATATAGCAGTGAACGAAACAGAAGACCCCTGACACTGAGGAGCTCATGTTCTATGGGGAAGGTGAAGTGGAAAAAAACTCAAAAGAATAAATAAGGGAATTTCAAGAGGTTTGAAGGAAATCTAACTAGGTAATGTGATTGCGGGACCTAGGGATAGGGAAGGGCATAGACTGCTTTAGATAGGATGGGAAATCTCTTAGGGGAGATTAAAATTGAACTAAGACCTGAATTACATGGAAAAATTTAGTCAAAGGAAAAGCATTCCAGAGAGAGAGCATGGCAGTGCAAAGCCTTGCAGAAAGAACCAGTGTAGAAAGTCCAAGGATGAAAGAAAGCCAGTGTAGCTAGAGCCTGAAGAATGAGGATGGGAGTGGAAGATGTGAAGGTAAGTTTGCAGGGGCCAGATCATATCAGGCCTGGAAGATGATATAGCTGTTTAAAGTTTATTCTAAATGCAATGAGAAGCCAGCTCCTAGCAAGATAATAAATTGCTTTTCCAGAACGTTAACTGTCCATTATTTAGTTCCTTTGCATTCTCCATAGGCTGGTCTTATAAAGGTTCTGTGACAGTAGGGAATCCATTAAAGATCTATTACATAAGGGAATGTGGGACATGCAAAAGCAGAAGACAAATGTAGAAACCCTCTGCTTCACTTGGCATTTCTGTCCTTCATCTTTCTGATATTTTAAAGCTACTGTGTTCCTACATACATATGCTATCTGTTCCTTCATTCTTTTTGATAAATTCATCATTTGCCTTTACATTTTCATCGTTTTTACCCCCAAATGGTTAATGTAGGTGTTTTTTTTTTTTTTGGAATCATTTTATTCTTTCGTATTTCTGTGTCAGTCGCTAGGAGAAAGACCAGGAAAATCTGTTAAACTCTAAACCAAAAATTCCCATTCACTGCAGAGTGATGATTCGCAACACTGCTGCAATTCAGGTAGTGGGGTGTCCTGAAGTGACAACACATCACCACTGCAGTCCTAATAAATTAAGTCTTTTTGTTTTGTTTTGTTTTGTTTTTTGGTCTGCTAGCTTTAGTAAATTTCCAACCATCTTTGACATAGTGCCAAAGATTTTCCAAATAGTATCCAACCTAGAAAACAGTTTCAGTTAATAAGCATTTTTCAGCAAATTCTATTATAGTTGGGATAAAAATATCCAGTGGCTTAAAATTACCCAATTTTACATCATGTGGTGCTGTAACTCAAGAGTGCATCGTACTTTATGTAAAAATCCCACAGTAATCAACTCCAATTAAAGTGCCTCTCCACCTAAATTAAATTACCAGTTAAATAAATTCTCCCGAATGAGGAGTGTATCTAAGGTAAATCAGATTAGTTCTATCAAACTTGTATTCTGCAGTCGCACTGTAATATTCTCACCATTTTTCTTCAGACAACAACAAGAATGCACAATACAAATATTTCCATTAAAGAAACAACAAAATCAGTTATCAATTTTTAAGCAAACAGCTGTAATCTAATTCCCCATTGTGGTTGTTTTTTTTTTTTTTTTTCTGCAAACGTTGGCTGCCATTTAATTTTGGAAAAGAAATACACAGAATTTTCAGTTTTCCTATTAGGCATGTTACTCACAGAGTTGGGATTCAATGTTTCTAGCTTTACCCGAAGCAGGGCAAAATTTCTGATTAACCAGTTTTCAAGTCAACCAGTCTGTGTAGATTTATTTCCAGGAATGTGTTTGTGCAATGCCTCTTGTCCTTCTCAACCATACCCTTCTCCAGCCCCAGTGTATCCAGAATCCATGGCCAATTTGAGTTCAGCAAAAATTTGGCTTCCATTTAGCTCCCCCTCCAAATAAGTTTATAAAAGAGGAGGCAGGATTTCATCTCCTTTCTGGATTGTACACATAGAATACATCTAAATTTTTAAGCTATATATTGTAAAAAATGGTGTGTGTCTGTATCACATTCAAAATCTAGTTCATGTATTATTCTGCAAGGAAATACATCAAACAAATTAATCATGAGTAAACCTAAATTTAGCAGTTTATCCTTATCTTAATGAATACCTAAATCCTGTTTGTGATATTGACTCAAACGACTCAAGCTTTCTCCTTTTTAATCTCGTTGAACCTTTAGCTGAAACGCCCCAATCTGCAGAAACACATTTCCATGTTTGAATCAGGAAAGGCTTGGAAGAGATTAGAATGACATTATATTTCATTTTACCAGTTAATACCACAGGAAGAACTATTTCAGCCAAACTAACCCTTTCTTGTCACACTTAAACATTAACCTCAACCCTAAGGTAGACACATACTAAAATTCAGAATTGCATCCCTGGAGGCCTTTAGGACAAATTAATTTTTGTTCTGTAAAAGGCACCACGTGTCATGTTTCATATCAATTTACATTTATTGAGTGCCTACTGAGTGACAGGTGCTGTGCTCAGTGCTGGAGACTCAAAGGTGAGTGAATAAGACATGCTTTCTTCCTTTCAGAACCATGGCCCCCAGTGAGGGAGTTAGCAACATGATGTAAGTCCTGAGATGGGAGGATCACACAGTGCTGTCTGTAAATTGCCCCAAAGCACTGAGACTCTAAGTTATCCCAACTTCCTTAACTTCTCTGCAACCTCTTTTGCTGAGGACAACATGATCCAACAAAAATGTCTCCTACTAACAAAGAGAATGTTTGACACAAACACTTATTTTCAGAAACAATTGTTTCCCAAAGCACTTGGCTTGTCCAAAGATGACTTACCTTGTTGGCAGCCCCTTGCCATACCTGTCTCAAAAAACAAATCAAGCTGAACCCAGTTTCATTGTCCACCCCTCCTTGCTGACAGAAGCTTGCTGATCTGCAAATGGAGAGAGGACTGGGAAGGTCACAACTTGTCCTTGCTCCCTCAAGGTAAGTGTCATCCCTTAAAGCTTGCCTGCTGCCTCATTGCCTTTCCCAAGTCTTGTGCCAAGTTGGTGCTTCTCATATCATAACTTCACTATAGCTGATTGCGAGTTGGATCTGGTCTCCTGGAGTTCCTCTCACAGAATGACTAGAGCTCACCCATCACATGATGTGAGAGTGCCCTTCTTTGAACCCTGAAGAGTTTTTAACCGAAGACCACATATTTCTTCCACCTGTTCTTGTCAGTGTTTCCATAGGGAACCACAGGCCTGAAAAGACACATTCCTTACTTTTAAAAATTAATTTGTTTAGACAACCCACACTGGTATTGGTCAGAGTCCTCAGACTGGCTCTGAGGATAGCTGACTAAGCTGCTGCTCCAAAATGCTGGAATATGTCATAATTCACAACCATTGTTCATAACTGTTTGACTACCCTAAACCTTACCTTCAAGGATTCTCTTATCTGAATGAACTAAGCAGAATAAACCGAACAATAAGAGTAGGGCTTGAAATCCAATTCTTAACTAATTAGAAAGCATGTATGGGCTAAGAGTTTCTTACCCCTTGCCAGGAGGGAAATGGGGAAATTTGATTTATATGTGAAAATTCTGCTTTTCAGCTTTCACTTGCCAAAGATAGGACAACTCAAATGAAAAGAAAAAATGGTGTTATCCATTTATTTTCCCAAAAGAGATGTTTGCAATGCTTTTTTACATTCTCTTCATACATGGGCAGAGTTTGTGCTGTAAATTTTGCAAGTTGGTTTCAGTGCAAGAGACAGTTACAGCATTAGGATGCATTCAGTGGCAAGTAACAGAATCTAGTCTCCCAGGGGCTTAAGCAATGATGACATTTAATTTTCTCACCTGGCAAGAGGTCTGGAGAAGGCAGTTGCAGCAGTGCAATGAAGTCATCTAGGACCCAGATTCTGTCTGCTCTTCTGTTCTGCCATCTTTTGCCACCTCAGCTACTGCAGCTTCAAATATCGTGTCCTCACAGAGCTGCATTCAATGGGAGTAGGAAGGGGCTGGGATAAAAAGCTTTCTCTTGTAAAGTTCTTTTGTTGTTGTTTTGTTTGTTTCCCTCCTTCCAGGAAGAGCAGTTTCAGGAAGTCTCCCAGCAGACCTCTCCTTTTGCTTCATAGGGCCAGAAATAGGCCACATGCCCACTCCTAGACCAATCACAGGCAAAGGAAAACAGAACAAGCCCAGTTGCAATTAATTCTCTTGGGGCTTGGATAGGGGCCCATCTTCTATGATCTCACTGGCTCCCTACCCACCATCTAAACAAGATGGGGCTTTTGTTGGCTAGGAAGAAGAGGCACATAGATAGCTCTTGGGTAAAATGTGAACAGCAACTGCCCTGTTGCTGGGGGAAGTGATCAAGATTTTTAATATCCTTTCTGCTCATGCCATTTTATTTAGAAATTGAAGTAACATGGAGATTTATTTTAATATAGTCATATAGTTAAGTTAGGCACATTACTGAAAATATATTCTAGCTGCTACAAGATTAATTGTTTGAAGATATCAAAGGGCTTTGAGAGGCATAGCTTCTTAGATTCCTGGCGGCCCATTAGATTGCATTTTCTTTCTCATACGATAGGACATCTGAACAGCTGAACATGAAACATCATGGAAACAATAAGATCATTGTTGCTACTTTCAAGGAAATACAGATAATCAAATTCAGATTGGACATGGGATTGACCAGATAGCAACGGAAGCTTGTGCTTATTTTCAACCTATTGTGGAATTGTCTTGAATTGATGATTTGGGGCCCATGAAGAGCTTTTTATTTTTTTGAAAATAAATTCACAATTTTAGAAAGTAGTCATATGGATTTTGATGTATAGTATAAACCATGCTGTAAATTTCTGAAGCTCTTTTTGGCATGCAAATGTTAATACATCTGCATCAGAAAGTATTTTCCTGTCTGTATTCAGTTTCAAGAAGAAAAACCATGATAATGAAATTAAATTATTTTCTCCAAAAAAACACAGTATCCCAGAAAAGATATAGGGGGGTCTGACATGAATCCCAGGAGATCCTGAAATTTCTAGAGATTTGAGCAATGTGTGACCCTTTACTCTTCAAGAAAGGAATAAGGATGAAGACAGGAACTAAAATCATTCCTGCCAACTAGAAACAGAATTGTGACCTCTCCCTAATGAAATCGATCCCACAGCTCAGTTAGCACCTAAAGACACCATGTGTCGCCAGTCTTTGGATGTAAGCAGTCATGTTAAGATTAAATAATGCAGAGTTTCCTTTGTTGATAACACTCTTTCTCAAGCCCCAAAAGTCCTACTAAATATTTCTGGGAGTCTGCAAAAAGCTACCTTACATGTATGTATGCACAAAGAAGTCTGCTAGCTGCAGTCATTACAGAGCATCGATTTTATCTTTCCTTTCCTGTTCTGGCTCCACACTGCCTTGCAAAGTAACTGGAAAGGCCTCTCTTTTACCCCCACTTATAGTAGCTATTTTGAAACCACCAGTGCCTATGCCAGGGGTACTATTTTTTAATGCTTCCCCAAATATCAGTTCTCCAGGCTGTGGTAGACTGGTGCAGCAAGACCCAGTGTCTTCTCAGTGGCTTACCATGATAAAAGTTTATTTCTTGCTGACACAAAATCTAACAGAGATCTGGGCAACCCTTTAGGACAGCTGTTTTCCATGAAGCCTCCCTGGTCAACTAAGCAGGTTTAAATTGATAACTTGATGGTGGTTACTCACTAGCTCTTTGCTTCAGGCTGCAAATGCTGGAACTAATCAATATGGCTCTACTTTAACTGCAAGAGGGCTAAAAAGTGCAGAGAGGTTCATGTATATGAAAAGGGAGAAGAACAGATTTTGGTGAATACTAGTGATATCTACTTTACAGGTCAGTACTTGGTCCTGGGGGAAAGTGGAAACAATGACCCTCTTTCTAACTGTTGCTTTGTTTTGTCACTTGATCTTCCAATCAGTACAGCTTACATCCAGAATCTCAAAAACTTTCTCATGAGTACACTCTGTTGTAGGCTCCAACATAGGTCAAGGGTGGAAGAAAATGCTGTGCCATCTTTCCCATTCTATCTGACTCATGTGTGTGTGTGTATGTGTATGTGTGTGTCATTATATATATGAGTCATTATATATATATAATATATAATATATGTATGAGCCATGAGCCATTCTCTCTGACTCATATATATATATATATATATATATATATATATATATATATATTTCATGACAAATTTACATACACCCTCTTTCCCCATTTTTTTCCATCCTCCTTCAAACAATAACCAACTTGTTTATTACTGTATTATGAAGTCTTAGCCCAGTGCCTGGAATTCAGAAATGTGTTAACGACTGAATGGATGAAAGGATGGATTGGTTGATGAGTGGGTGAATGGATAAATGATGGTCCTCTTTCCATAGATGATGCAACGAAGGGAACCTGGTTTCACTATCTACCCTATGAACTTGTCCTGTTACCTTGACCCTAGTTGTAGTCCTTCTGGCTTAGATACAAGCTTAGAAAAAGATTGCCTCTTTTTTTGGCTCCCTTTGGATAGAAATTTTGTTTAAGATTAATTATGTTAGTGTCAGGGGTTCAGTTTAGGAGATGAAATCCTACCACTCAGGGATTTCTAATTAAGGAATATGCACATGAGAATAATACCAAATAGAAAATAAAATACCTTTTTATTAACTAAGCGCCCATTTCTCTCCCAGGGCAGAGATATTTGTTAAACCAAATCAAATTATACCATGTAGGTTTGGAAACCTAAGGAAGGTTTCCCTCACTTCCACCCTGGGTGATGAAAAGATCTGGAACAGACCAAATACAATTTATGCACATAGTACATATGCACAGGACAGAGAACGGCCACGCCCTTTCCCAGTGTGCTGCAATAAGGGGACTGTAATTGCCAATGAGGGAACATCAGCTTAGAGACTCTGCCCTCTAGCGAAATGTGGTTTGGTAATTGCCTTGTGCTTTGAGTACTTGAGTAATTCCTCCTCCCTCTGGAAGAAGTTAAAAAGTAAGGAAGACAGAGGGGATGGGGGTGGCAGAAACGCCTCTTCCTCTCCAGACCAAGGTGGAAACGGGAGGAGAGCTGGCTTCTGCTCTTCTTATTCATCTTGAATATAATCTTCACTTCCCCTTTGCCCAAGCCCTTCAGTCCTTTCCCCAGGATCACATTCATTCTACTCCATGACAAAATGACAGTTTTGTCCCCAACCTAGGTCAGTGTCCTCACTCTACTACGTGCTTCCTAGAGGACAAGTTCAAACTCTAGGTTTATAACTGCACTTTTGTATAAAGTTCTTCTTATTTTTAACATAAAACTTGCTATGCACTAATACTGAAATCAATATAAACTTTATTTTGCCAACACATGGATTTCTGATCACGTGGTCCACTATTGAAAATTCTTGGCAAGCTTATCTCAATGAATAGCCAATAGCTAGATTCTGCTGCTGAGCTAGTCTTCATCTCCTTAACATATTTGCTACAAAATAAAAAATCCATAATAATGAAAAAATTGGGGAGATGGGGAAAGACTATGAAGGGTTGGCATAATATAGGCAGTGTGGGAGGGGAGACTTTGGATGGGGCAAAAATCAATATTCCCCTTTCTGGCTTCTTTCACTATCTCCCATTGCCTCCCAATAATATGCCATCATTTTCACCCATTCACCGTCAGTTCTACCAGCCTGAATAAGTGTAAACAGCCTCTGTCTGTGCCATAAATAACCTATTGTGATAGTTCTCTGTTAGATTAACACAGTTCTCCTTCGTTTCCCATTAACAATGCTATTTATTTAGTAGTTCTGTCAACAAAATTTTAGAATAGACAAATAGCATAGACAATGCTTCAAAAAATTGTCATTACTGCAGAATCTTAAAAACAAAAACAAAAATGAGGGCAATTAAAAAACGTAAGTAGCGATTACAAACACGCCACCAGAGAAGATTGTGGAACAGTGTCGCAAATGATTAAAGAAAAATATGACACAGAAATTCTTCAGTTTTCAGGATGGCAGATAAGAAAAGGAACAACTCGCTGAAACACGAAAACTCTCTCTGCTTGTAGGATAACAACTGGCTGAAATCGGTTGGAACCATTATGGCCAACTGGAGTCTGTGTAGAACAAGCTTGCTGACATCACAGCCTGAATTTCCACTGCATGTTTCATACTAACTTCCCCCAAATTTGCACATGTATTCCAGGAGGTAGCATGAAGAGATAACTGCATGCCAGAGGACTTTCCAGACCTCCCCTTTCCCTCTACCAATCAGGGGTAAATCCCAGAATCCATCCCCTAAACCTTCATAAAAGTATTGCCTTATAGCCAGCATGAGGAGATAGATTTGAGTTGGACACCTGTCTCCTTGTTGGTCGACCTGCAATCAAAAGTTATTCTTAGCTGGGCACGGTGGCTCACGCCTGTTATCCCAGTACTTTGGGAGGCTGAGGCGGGTAGATCACCTGAGGCTGGGAGTTTGAGACCAGCCTGGCCAACATCGTGAAACCCCATCTCTACTAAAAACACAAAAAATTAGCTGGCTGTGGTGTGGTGGTGGGTGCCTGTAATCCCAGCCACTAGGGAGGCTGAGGCAGAAGAATCACTTGAACCCGGGAGGCGGAGGTTGCAGTGAGCCAAGATCGAGCCATTGCACTCCAGACTGGGCTACAAGAGCGAAACTCTGTCTTAAAAAAAAAAAAAAAAAGTTTTTCTTTTCTCAAAAACCCAGTATCATAGCATTGGCTTCTAGCACATTGGGAAAGGAGCCTCTTTTGCTCAGTAACAATGGCAAATAAGTACATTAAAGGATGCTTAACATTATTAGTCATAAGGGAAATGAAAATTAAAACCACAATGAGATACTACCACACATTCATTAGAATGGCTAAACTTTTAGGAAACTGAACATACTGAGTGTTGGTGAGGTTATGTAGCCACTGAAACTATTGTACAGTACAGCCACTTTGAAAGACAAGTAGGGAGTTGCTTGAAAAGTTAAACACATACCAATGATCAGATCCAGCCATTCGGCTTCTAGGTATTTACACAAAAACAATGAAAGAAAACATGTGTCCATATTAAGACTCATACAGGAATATTCATAGAGCTTCATAGAGCTTCATTTGTAATAGCCCAAAACTGGAAACCATTCAAATGTCCATCTGCAGCAAATGGACAAACAGATTGAGAATACCCATACCACGGAATACTACTCGGCAATGAAAAGAAAAAAACTATTGATATGTGCAGCAATATGGATAAATCTCAAAATAATTATGCTGATTGAAAGAAGCCAGATTTAAAAAAAGTGTGTATGATGTCATTCATGTAAAATTGCAGAAAATGCAAACTAATCACTATAGTGACATGAAGCAAATAAGGGTTGCCTGGAGATGGGGATGAGGTGAGGTGAGGTAGGGAGGAAGAATTTACAAAGGTGCATAAGAAGACTTTTCGGGATGATGAATATGTTCAATGTCTTGATAGCAGTGATGGCTTCGTGAGTGTATACACATGTTGAAACTTACCAAATGTTATATTTACATATATGCAGTTTATTATGTCAATTATATCTCATAAAGTTGTTGTTTAATAAAAGACTTTTAACACTGGTTTTTGCACCAGCCAAAGATGAAGGAACCGGCTTGTATCTTTCCATTAAGTTTCAAATTACTCTCCCGGAAGCTCCCTTGAAAGTGTAGGTCAGCATAGCGGAGGGGTGAGCGTGCTGAGTCACCTATCACCCCACTGTGCTTTTATCCACTGGTTTGTTTATAGTTTCTCTAAAGATTTCTTTCCAAAAAGACCAGGCTTAAGAGGGGAAAAAAATGGAAAAGGCTTTAAAATTCACTGGATCTTTAATGCCTACTAGCTGTAACATTATCAATCTAAGGTTCTATAAATGAGGAATTTTGTAAAATACTGTCTTTTTTAACTGAAGAAGCCTTCAATTATAAAAGACACACCATATCCCTAGCTTTCCTTAACAGCTTTTTAGGGGAAAAAAGCAAAATAAATGAGTATACTTATTATAAGATGCACTTCAATTTCAAAAATATTCAGAAGTATGATTTTAGAATACACATTCCAGCAAGTAGTCCTAGAGTTTTGGAAAGGGTAGGGTGGGATCGGCCTTCATAAACTTAAATTGCCTGAGTTGTGGTCTCAGCACCCAGGCTAGTCTCAGGCACCATCTCCTTCCTTTAAAGAAGAAGCAATACACTAAAACCCTAAACATTGGATTCAGCACTAGTTTTTTTCTTTTTTCTTTTCCCAGGCTTTGTAGATGGTGAGGTTATAGCCAAAATCCCATTTAACTCTTAAGAATTTAAGCTAACTTTCATTCATTTATTTATTCATTCAACAAAAACTTATTGGGCACCTGGCACTATTCTAGAGTCTGGGGACTCTGTCTGGGGACAGAGTAAGAAACAAGACAGACAAGAGTCCCTGACCCCATAGAGCTTACATTCTAGCAAGAAAACAAATGTTTAAAAAGTATACAGATAAAACACAATATGGGTGTTTCATATTGTGGCTCATATAGGCATGGTGGCTCATGCCTATAATCCCAGCACTTTGGAAGGCCGAGGCAGGTGAATCACCTAAGGTCAGGAGTTCGAGACCAGCCTGTCCAACATGGTGAAACCCCGTCTCTACTAAAAGTACAAAAATTAGCCAGGCATGGTGGTGCGCACCTGTAATCCCAGCTGCTTAGGAGGCTGAGGCGCGAGAATCACTTGAACCCAGGAGGTGGAGGTTGCAGTGAGCCGAGATCGTGCCATTGCTCTCCAGCCTGGGCGACAGAGTGAGACTCCATCTCAAACAAAACCAAAACAAAAAACACAATAGCATTTCAGATTGTGATAAGTGCTATAAAGAAAAGCAAAGCTGCTTAAGGATGTAGAAGTTGTGTGGGTTATTTCTGATAAGGTGTTATAAAGACTTCTCTGAAATGACATTTAGGTAGGGATATGAATGATATGAATGAGTGAACTATGTAAAAATCTGGAGTGTAGCATTCCAGGCAGAAAGCACAGCGAGTAGCATAAGTTCCTGAGGAGGACATAGCTTGGCCTGTTTAAGGAGCAATAAGGTCAGTATGGCTGGGGTACAAAGAGAAAGAGGGAGTGGTCAGAGATGAAGTGGGAGAAGGAAGCTCTTTTAGGTCACAGTTAGGAGCTGGCATTTTATTCTCAGTGTGATGGGAAGCTACTGGAGAGGTGATAAGTTTCTGAACCCCCCACTGAGATTCAGAAGAAACATCTTCCAAGCACAATATTGACATCAGCAGTCTTATCTAATCTCCTCTACGGCAAACGGTTAGATTCCCTCTATCAGCCACGAAAGATAAAAGTACGAAGAACACTATACTGTGCTAGAAATCAATGAAAAGGGTCAGTCACATGCTACAGACAGGGGAATTTTTGCAAGATACAATACAGATGAGATTAGTTTGAAAAAGTGGCCAGTCCTATCTATTACAACTCAGTCAGAAGAAGGAACAGCTAACCAAGAAGTGGACCCCAGCAGAACCCACCTATTTACTCAGGGGCTAGGGTCAGAGATGAGGTGAAGCAAGAGATGATATGGGGGTATATCTGGATCCCCCCAACAACTCTGCAACAGTTTACTTGATAACCGAAGTCATACCAAGCAGGATCCTTCAGTGTCATTTACTGCCAATGTGCCTTTGACAAGGATAAATATGCCTGGCAAATATCCGGGGTGCTACCTTGTCTGGTATCTAACAAGGCAAACCTTGCCATGCAAAGAATAAAGGCATAGACCCAGTTACTTTCTAATTACACAGCAAACAAAAAAATGAAGCTCTTTAGTATACAAGTGAATTTCCTAGCCACAACTACCTCAGGAACTGGTGGTTTCCACACTATCCCCAGTTTGATACCCGAAGTAACAAAGAAAAACAACTTAAAAATCAAAATTGTCTATATAGCCTTCATTTAGACATCACAAAAACTCTGAGAGATTACATTTTAACTTTCCATGTGAGGCAATCAGAAACTATCCTGGCCGGGCGCGGTGGCTCACGCCTGTAATCCCAGCACTTTGGGAGGCCGAGGCGGGCGGATCACGAGGTCAGGAGATCGAGACCATCCCGGCTAAAACGGTGAAACCCCGTCTCTACTAAAAATACAAAAAATTAGCCGGGCGTAGTGGCGGGCGCCTGTAGTCCCAGCTACTTGGGAGGCTGAGGCAGGAGAATGGCGTGAACCCGGGAGGCGGGGCTTGCAGTGAGCCGAGATCCCGCCACTGCACTCCAGCCTGGGCGACAGAGCGAGACTCCGTCTAAAAAAAAAAAAAAAAGAAACTATCCTAAGCTTACTTCTTTAAGAGTGTGCAAATGGGAGCATTTATAGGTGATACAAAGAGATAAAAAAGAAGAGCATCGATCTATCAGAGAAATATCTTCCCATGAAATACAGTTGCTACAACAAATAAGAGAAATTTTAGAAAATTCCAAATCAAGTTTTTGCCAGATTCAAGAGGACTCTGAGCCAGGTGTGTGTGGCTCATGCTTGTAATCCCAATGCTTTGGGAGGCTGAAGTGGGAGGATCACTTGAGCCCAGGAGTAAGAGGCTGCATTGAGCCATGATGATCACACCACTGCACTGGGTGACAGAGCAAGACCCTGTCTAAAAAAACAAACAAAAAAAACTTCAAGAGGACCTTGAAACTTCAAATCGAGAGCACATAGTCATGAAACATTAATGAAAAAAAAAAAATCTAGAACCATCTGTTGGTTGTAGTGAATTTGATAAGCCTGTCTGGATCAAATTTCTTAATCCTATCCTGCCACCTCCTTTCAATACCTTGAAAAACGCCACCGTTTAGAGTATGTGCACAAGTGACAAGTTATGGTCCCGAATCATGATCTCATCCATCCTTGTGAGCTAGGTTGGACTGAATGTCTTGAGCCCAAATGAGTCCTCTTCCTGCCCATGGGGCTTCCTTCACTCTGGTTCTTCCTTAGTCTTCTAAGTGGAGGGAGCAACATTTTTAACTGGGAGGGATAACCCAATGTCTTTCCATAGAACCAGCTTCACGGGAGCAAAGGAAGACGCCATTCAATAGAAAATACCTAACAAGAAAGAACTCCAAGATCAAGTGGCATTGGAGCATTTATCCTAACACAGTTCAACTTATCTATCTACATACACCCTTCTCACTGGAAGTACTGATTCCATTCAGATATCAAAGGAGAAAGCCTTGAGCTCCCCCTAGAGAACAAAGCATGTAGCCAGTATTTCCTGATCTTAGCTCTCTGTAGGCTTCACAAGTCTTGCCTCCCCTTCTCTGAAAGAGGCACTGGCGCCTCTTACTGCCTTGGGCACACGTCTTTACAGTACTTACCGCATTGTGCTATTTGTTGCAGCTCCTCATTCCCTTTCACATGTGAGCCTCTTGACGGCAATCAGACTGTCATTAGGTTTTCTCTTCTATCCCTTAAAATGGTGTCTGGTGCAAAGCGGGCCCTCAGCAACTATGTTTGTTAGGGAAATAAAGCATTCAGGAGAAACAAAAAATATTAACATTCCTGGAATGTTAATATTTTGTCTTTCAGTGCTCAGTTATTTCTCCTGCTTTCTTTTCTACTTCTTTACTCCACCACATATTATAACTAGCAACTTACATAGCCCTTGTTCATGCAATATGACACTGAATCCTACAATTCTATGGGAATAGAATTTCCCTTTTACTCTTACTAGAAAAGAAAATGGACATTCAAACAGGTGAAGTGAGCTGCTTAAGGTCACATAGCCAGGAAGTATTAGAACAAAGAAACAAAGCCAGGTTTTTCTGACCAGATTTCATGATCAACTAGGTGACTTTACTGTGTTCCTTTGGATTTTTACCAGCTTTAGCCTTAGTTTGTCTGCAACCGCCACACATGCACACTGCATACACAGTATACACACATGCACACTGCACATAAATTAGCAAAATGAAGATAACTTCTTCTGGCTCTCCCTTCTTTCTGCTTTATAACATGATCACTGATTGTAAAGCATTCAAACAATATACTCATTCTCAAGCTTGATTGCACATTGAATCATCTGGGTAATTTAAAAAATTACTAGAACCTGGGTTCACTTCCAGTAGTTCTGACTTAATTTGTCTAGAGTGGGCTGAGCATTCAGATTTTTCATAGGTTGTTAATGTACTAAGTTGAGAACCACTGCAATACAGAAAACTGTAAATAATTTTTTAAAAATCTGTAATTCCTTGGCCAGGCGCAGTGGCTCATGCCTGTAATTGCAGCAATTTAGGAGGCCAAGGCGGGCAGATCACTTGAGGTCAGGAATTTGAGACCAGCCCAGCCAACATCGTGAAACCCTGTCTCTACTAAAACATACAAAAATTAGCCGGGCGTGGTAGTGCGCGCCTGTAATCCCAGCTACTCAGGAGGCTGAGGCAGGAGAATTGCTTGAACCTGGGAGACGGAGGTTGCAGTGAGCCGAGATCATGCCACTGCATTCCAGCCTGGGCGATAGAGCAAGACTCAGTCTCAAAAAAAATTCTGTAATTCCACCACTCTGAGATGATCACCATAGTTAATATTTTGGTGAATTTATCTTCTCTTTACATTGAAGCATACATCCAGTGTTACAAAAAAGGGATAACATGCAAGTTGTTTTGTAACTTAGTTTCTTTACCTGCACCCTTTTCCTCACCTGTATGTGTGTGTATGTCTGTATGTCTGTAGTGTGTATTCATATATACATTTTAATGGCTTTGTAGTATTTCACGGTATAAAGGTAATACAATCACTTAAAATCTCCTTCAGATAGATAGATAGATTGATAGATAAATTTTCTGTTAAAATCACTACTTCAGTAAACACCTTCGTATATACTATTATGCCACCAGGCTTGTTACAGCATCATTATTTATCTAATCTGATTTACATGTTATTACAACATTTTCTCCTCACCTAAATTAAGAAAAATGAGAGAGGATGCAAGAAAGAAAGAAAGAAAAAAGATATGAAAGGCAAGTCCAGGAAACAGAAAACCCATCTCTCTTACAAATTTTCTGAGCTTATTTTTGACACATATTGGAATGATGCCCTTTGTTTGAAACCAGGGACGACCCATTTCCTAACTCTGATTTCCTTGGAGCCCTTTTTCTGTAGCCCGGGGAGGGGTGAACATGAAGCAGCAAGCCAGGTAGATTCCAGAGGCAGGGTCTCAGCAGGGTGTCCATCAGCCACAAGAGGTCACTAGGGGGATTTTTAAAAACCCTCGCTTCCCTGAGCAAACTCTCCCAGGTGAATACACTAGTTTTCAGGGTGTGTTGGCAATGGTAGAAATGATGGGAACAGAGTGATCTGACAGGATACTAGAATTCTGAATTTATTGTAGACATTGATTTGCTGCAAGATGTAAAGAAAAACATTTCTTTTCCCAATCACACCACCATTGTTTTAGGAATTATTTTGCCATCATAGAAAAGGAGAGACAAGTGGTATGCTCATAGGCTTTGGAGCCATAAATACTGAAATCATATCTCAGCTCAGTATTACCTTCAGTAAGTTACATAAGCTTCCATTTCCTCATCTGGAAAATGGCCACAATGAATGATGATACCTAATAAATGAAATAAGCCTGCAAAACGCTTGGTACATGTTAAAAGCTAAATAAATATTAGTTGCTGTGTTTGATATTGTGTCTGTGTTTGATATTGGAGGAGAGATGAGTTTGGTTTGGGGCATTTTGAATTGGGCATGCTGTTGAAATATCAAAATAGAGACAATAGCAAGAGCAGAGGGAAACATTTGTGGTCATATACTGCTCATGGGGGTGTTAACTAAACATAGGGACATAGTCTCTTTGTTATGCAATTGGCAGTACGTTTTGAGAACTAAAAGTGTTTTCATAAGTCAGGATGCAAAGTGTATAAAAGGGACCTCAAAATACAACAGCTTAAACTAGGTCAAAATTTATTTCAATCTCATTTAACATCCAGTAGGCAGGCAGTCCAGGGCTCCGCCACCCAGAGCTGGCTTTATGAGGGTTTGTCTTGTGCAGTCACACAGAGCCCCACAATCAGAAGGGCCCAATGTGTAGCCTAATGCTCTGCTGCTGCCATCTTGAAATTCTTCATAATTTCATCTTTGAATTTGTATTTTGTAAGTCAAATCCAATGGGACAATGAAGCATGCACATAAACAGAGGAATACACAGTAGGTGCATCTGTCCTTCCTTTGTATGACACCTGTCATTCACAGTAGGTATATCATGTCATGCCACCATGTTTGAATGTAGTAACGGCAATGCTCTCTGACCACAGAATCCCAGTAGACCCACGATGCATGGGAGTTTGGGGAGACTCCAAGTGAGTACAAGTTAAGTGTGTTATGTCTATGACTAACAGGGGTCTGGGAGAGAGTACTGACAGATCCCAAAAGGCCAAGCATTCCATTCAAACTAGACTTGCTTCTGTTCCAGAAAGAAAGCAATGGCATTGTTAGAAACATGAACAACAAAGGAACCCCACCACATCCTTTATTACTTGTGCTACTTCCCTGTATCAGCCAGGAACTTACTTTGAAAATAACACAGAAAGGGAACAATAGGGTAACCTGTAGTTCCTTTTCCTGTCAGTCCTTCCTTACTCATCAGTAGGTAGAAGGCAAAGCATGTTGATAGAACATATTTTATCAAGCAGTGAAATAAAAACAGTTGAATTTTTTGTGTGTGCATTGTTCCTACTCTTCTGGTAAGAATGAACTACATATCCATGTATGAACCACAAAATACAAATTGTAATTTTTGTGATTCGACACGAGTTAAGTGCTCTTATATTTGCATTTAAAATGGGTGTGGCACAATATAAAAATGAAAATTTATACTGATTTAAACTTTTAGTCTTCTTTACTTAAAACAACATTAAAAAGTAACAAAAATCCTATAAGAAATTAAAATAAAGAGCTTGGAAGAAAGATAAACTTTATCTTTTATTACCTTTAATGGCACTGCTGTATTTTCCACTTGTGGATTCTGTGTCTGCTTCAGCTTTTGCTATCTTCTCACCAGTAAAGAGCTGGGGAAAAAACAACAATGACAGGGAATTGAGCATAATTCTTTTTGTTTGTTTGTTTGTTTTTGTTTTTCGAGACAGAGTCTCACTCTGTCACCCAGGCTGGAGTGTAGTGGCGCGATCTCTGCTCACTGCAAACTCGCCTCCTGTGTTCAAGCGATTCTCTTGCCTGAGCCTCCTGAGTAGCTGGGATTACAGGTGTGCACCATCACACCAGGCTAATTTTTGTATTTTTACTAGAGATGGGGTTTCACCGTGTTGGTCAGGCTGGTCTTGAACTCCTGACCTCGTGATCCTCCCGCCTCAGCCTCCCAAAGTGCTGGAATTACAGGCATGAGCCACCATGCCTGGCAAAGCATAATTCTTTAATGGGCCCACATCATTTCATTACACTCACATCCCACTAGCCAGACCTGTCACACAGGCACATCTAGCTGCCAGGCTGGCTATATAGAAATATCATTAACGACGTAGCTATAGACCCAGCTAAAACTCTACTACTTTAGAAGGGGAAAATGGATATTGGGGAACAATTTGCAGTTGGCCACAGCATTAATTCAATTTGATCTAATATTTCTGGTCCTAGAAGTTTATGAATGAAAAAAGCAGAGGTGTATAAAAAGCTTTACCTATAAGGTTATTCATTGCATCTTTATGTATAATAACAGCAAACAATTAGAAATAGGCAGACTTCCAATAACAGAAGTTGGTTTGTTACAAGAAAAACTTGGAACTTTAATGTTCCCTCCAAACTGAGAAGGAATGAAGAGACCAAAGAATGACTTGAACGAGTCCAGCTTAACGAGTAGATGAGTTTATTAGGACTTATGCACAGGGCACTCCTGGATGGTGGCGGGACAGCTCTCGAGATCCGCACCACCTCCCATCTCTAAACTGCTTTTAAGCTAATTTCTGGCTCTTTGCCTGCTGTGTTTGAGCAATGAGACTGTTTTTCTTGGTAGGTTCTCAGATACTCTCCGGGATATTTGGGTTTTCAGGGACACTTGTTTAGTTCTCTGCAGGGCATCATGACTGTGAGTCACTGCCCAGTCTTCAGGGTTCAGGCAGCAGACATATACCCTTAAGTATCCTGGTGGGGGACTTGTCACACTACCAGTCAAATAAATAAAGGCATATATATATGTATATATATATATCTTAGAATATTATAGACCTATTAAAAATTACATTCTCAGATATGGTTTTTCTATGATTATGTCATAGGAAAATGCTCAAGATGTAATGGAACACAAAAAAGCAGAATGCAAAACCCTACATATAATGCAATTTAGTGGCATTTTTTCAACTATGGGGGTAGTGTCTGGGTTTATCCAGGGATCAAAAGGACAAGACTACAGGCCTCACAGGGTAAATTTCTCATGACATATGGTTTGAACTACAGCCCTGCAGCATCATATCTGGATTTTATTTATAGGCTCAGAACAGATACATTTCTCAGAGTGAATCATCTTAACCAGGGTCATAAGATAAAAACATAGATCCAGAAGACTAGTTATTCATTTACAATGAGGTATAATAGTGACATAAACTGTATGTGTGTGTGTGTATATATGTGTGTGTGAGTGTGTGTGTGTGTATTAGTCCATTTTCACACTGCTGATAAAGACATACCCCAAACTGGGCAATTTACAGAAGAAAGAGGTTTATTGGACTTATATTTCTACATGGCTGGGGAGGCCTCACAATTATGGCAGAAGGTAAAAGGATGTCTCACATGGCAGCAGACAAGAGAAGAAAGAACTTGTGCAGAGAAATTCCCCTTTTTAAACTATCAGATCTTGTGAGACTTATTCACTGTCACAAGAACAGCATGCGAAAGACTTGCCCCCATGATTCAATTACCTCCTAACAGGTCCCTCCCACAACACATGGAAATTCAAGATGAGATTTGGGTGGGGATGCAGCCAAACCATATCATTCCACCCTGACCCCTCCCAAGTCTCATGTCCTCACATTTCAAAACCAATCATGCCTTCCCAACAGTCCTCCAAAGTCTTAACTCACTTCAGCATTAACTCAAAAGTCCATAGTTCAAAGTCTCATCTGAAACAAGGCAAATCTCTTCTGCCTATGAGCCTGTAAAATCAAAAGCAAGTTAGTTACTTCCTAGATACAATGGGGATACAGGCATTGGGTACATACAGCCATTCCAAACTGGCCAAAACATTGGGGCTACAGGCCCCATGCAAGTCCGAAATCCAGCAGGTCAGTCAAATCTTAAAGCTCCAAAATGATCTCCTTTGACTTCATGTCTCACATCTGGGTCAAACTAATGTAAGAGATGAGTTCCCATGGTCTTGGGCAACTCTGCCCCTGTAGCTTTGCAGGGTACAGCCTCCCTCCTGGCTGCCTTCATTGGCTGATGTTGAATGTCTGCAGTTTTTCCAGGCGCACTGTGCAAGCTGTCAGTGGATCTACCATTATGGGGTCTGGAGGATGGTGGCCCTTTCTCACAGCTCCACTTGAGCTGTCCAGTAGGGACTCTGTATGGGGACTCTGACCCCACATTTCCCTTCTGCACTGCCCTAGCAGAGGTTCTCCATGAGGGCCCCACCCCTGCCACAAACTTCTGCCTGGGCATCCAGGCATTTCTATACATCTTTTGAAATCTAGGCAGAGGTTCCCAAACCCCAATTCTTCACTTCTATGCACCTGCAGGCTCAACACCACATGGAAACTGCCAAGGCTTGTGGCTTCCAAAGTCTGAGGCAACAGCCCAAGCTGTACATTGTCCCCTTTTAGCCATGGATGGAGTGGCTAGAATGCAGGGTACCAAGTCCCTAGGCTGCACAGGGCAGGGGGGACCTGGACCCAGCCAATGAAACCAACTTTTCTTCCTAGGCCTCCCGACCTGTGATGGGAGGGGCTGCCGTGAAGACCTCTGACATGCCCTTGAGACATTTCCCCTTTGTCTTGGTGATTAACATTTGGCTCCTTGTTACTTATGCAAATTTCTGCAGCTGGCTTGAATTTCTCCTCAGAAAATGGGATTTTCTTTTCTATCACATTATCAGGCTGCAAATTTTCTGAACCTCTATGCCCTGTTTCCCTTTTAAAACCGAATGCCTTTAACATTACCCTAGTCACCTCTTGCATGCTTTGCTGCTTATAAATTTCTTCTGCCAGATACCCTAAATCATCTCTCTCAAGTTCAAAGTTCCATGAATCTCTAGGGCAGGGGAAAAATGCTGCTAGTCACTTTGCTAAAACATAACAAGAGTCACCTTTGCTCCAGTTCTCAAAAAGTTCTTCATGTCCATCTGAGACCACCTTAGCCTGGATTTCATTGTCCATATCATTACCAGCATTTTTGTCAAAGCCATTCGACAAGTCTCTAGGGAGTTCCACACTTTCCCACATTTTCTTGTCTTTTCTGCGCCCTCCAAAGTGTTCCAATCTCTGCCTGTTACCCAGTTCCAAAGTCATTTCCACATTTTCAGGTATGTTTTCAGCAGCGCCCCACTCTACTGGTATCAATTTACTGTATTAGTTCATTTTCACACTGCTGATAAAGACATACCCGAGACTGGGTAATTTATACAAGAAAGCGGTTTAATGGACTTACAGTTCCACGTGGCTGGAGACGCCTCACAATCATGGCAGAAGGCAAGGAGGAGCAAGTCACATCTTACATGGATGGCAGAAGGCAAACAGAGAGCTTGTGCAGGAAAACTGCCCCTTAGATAACCATCAGATATCATGAGACTTATTTGCACTATGAGAGCAGCATGGGAAAGACCTGCCCCCATGATTCAATTATCTCCCATCAGGTCCTTCCCACTTGTGGGAATTCAAGAGGAGATTTGGGGGGGGACACAGCCAAAACATATCTGTGTGTGTGTGTGTGTGTATATCTATGTACATATATATATCATCTCATGTATATGATATATAGAGATGATAATACAGCTTGGCCAAGGAAATTTCAGTCCAGCAAAAAGATAGATGGTTTTATTCTTAAGGAATTTTCCAAGAGGATTTTTTGAGAAAAGCAGCCAGAGTGAGACAACAACTACATTTCTTAGAGGGTCTTAAGTTCTCTCTGTAAAGAATTACAGACAAATGGAGGCATAGAGTTTCCATGTCCTCCAGCTGTTTTCAGGAGCCCTGGTGCAGCTTGTGAGCAGAAATACTAGTGTTGGCTTCAATTTCCTGTGGAAAAGAGATGTGATGTGGCACAGGGAAGGAGTACCGAAAATAATCTGTTCTAAAGACTTATCTGGGTGACCTTTGGAAGAGACGAAAGGGAGGGCGTGAGATAGTGAGAGACTCTGGAGTATTTATGGAGTGAAAAATCAAAGAAAAGTGGGTATAAAGAAGTGTTACTCTGTTTATGAATCTGATCTTTGTTAACGTCCCTTGAGAAACACAAATATGCTTTTAAATTATTTTTTCATTACTTTGATTACATGACTTTGCATGTGTTCATGGCAGGACTGAATTCCATGGGACCTTGGTTTATAATCAAGTAATATTCCAAGGATACAAATGATATAAAGTAATTAATGATATCAAAATCTTCATATTAGCAGTGAAAAACAAAAAAATTATTTGTAATGGCCCCAAAGACTTTGATAATACTCAACATCTGTTCTTTTTTTTTCTTTTTGACAGATAAAACATTTAAAATATATATAGCCACTGAAAAAAAATTATTAAGTACCCTTAAGACGGCAGTCTTCAAGCTGGGAGTGGTGGCCTGAGCCTGTAGTCCTAGCTACTCCAGAGCCTGATGCAAGAGGGTCACTCACAGGAGTTTGGGGCTGTAGTGCACAATGACTGTGTTTGTGAACAGCCACTGTACTCCAACCTGAGCAACATAGCAAGCCCCCATCTCTAAAAAAAAAAAAAACCAAAACAAAACAAAAACAAAAAAACCTGCATTCTTCTCAAAAATAATTTTGAGAGACCATATACACTTTCGCATTGTAAATGAGTATCTATGTTCTATTATAAATGTAAATAATTCCAAAGGATGTCATATCCAGTATGTTTTAACATTGGTGACCCTTTTAAGTACAAATCATGGAATCTTAAACAAGATAATGATTAAATACCCATTAAAGAAAATTACATGTTAAAGTTCAGAACATTTACATTATTCGGTTCCATATCCCTCACAGAACTTTATGTAAATGTAATATATTTTTAGGCTTGGAAGTTTTATTGATAACCATATCATACTTCTCCGCAACAAACTAAAAAACTTCCTTAGTTTTCTATAACCTTAGAGGTCTAATACTGCACTGTGCAACACTCTTGCCACTAGCAACACATGGCTAGTAAGCACTTGAAATGAGATCAGAGTGACTATGGTACTACATTTTTAATTATATTTAAGTTTTAAAATTAAAATGATTTTCTAATTTTCTCCATAGAGATCTTACCTATTTGCTAGGTTTGTTTATAAATATTTTATGCTGTTTGATGATGTTGGAAATGATTTTTATAAAGATGCATTTTCCGTTTGTTGTTGGAGATATTTATATATGTCTGAGCACCTGTTCTTTGCCTGATAATATGTTGCTTTAATACGCTAAGGTGACACATTTTATTGTACTTGTAAGGTTAGTTCAGCAGACTGTGCTGTTGCCCAGAATTATGGTTACTTATGAACTATACTTTTTAGTAAGCTGCCTGGAGACATGGTTTTTATGTTGCTATTTCTCTTTTCTGGAACATCCGTCTGGGATTTGCACAGGACAATTGTGCTTGCTCTTGGAAGGTCACATGGATTTGACTGTGGCTCTGCTCACTGATGCGCAGCAAGTGTTGGCTCCCACCGCCTCCAGAATCCAACTCACTGGACACCGCTGCCTCTTCGGCCACCAGGTACCCGTGCGCCGCCTTGTGACAGGTTTAGTGCGGGCATCGGGGACTAGCAAAGGATCAGTCCGTTCCCTGTGGAGCTCACGGTTCTGTGCGCTTCGTTTCTCCTTCGCAGCCGCTTGTTCTGACTGCCGGACACAGCGCCCGCCCTCTTCCCACGAGAGTGACCCGGTCGGGACAGGGTCCCCGCCCTAGCCCTGCACCCCCGTCCCGGCCTAAACAGATAGCCCACCTCGGCCCTCCATGCCCCACCCGGCTCTGACTGTGTCCCCGCCTCCAACCTGGGCCGCCAGCACCTCCTGCAGGCGCCGGGCGCCGCTGCCTCGCACCGGCCAGAGCAGCTGCCGCCACAGCGGTTCAGCTGTTATTAATGTTTTAAAATTGTCAGTCGCCTGCCTGCCCGCCCGCCCACCTGCCTTCTTTTCTTTTCTTTTCTTTTCTTCTCTTTTCTTTTCTTTTCTTTCTTTTCTTTTCTTTTCTTTTCTTTTCTTTTCTTTCTTTTCTTTTCTTTTCTTTCTTTCTTGCTTTCCTCTTTCTTTCTTCCTTCCTTCCTTCTTTCTTTCTTTCTTTTTCTTTCTTTCTTTCCTTCCTTCCCGTCTTTCTTCCTTTCTTTCAACTTTCTTTCTTCTTTCTCTCTCTTTCTTCCTTTCTTTCTTTTTCTTTCTCTCTCTTTCTTTTTCTTTCTTTCTTTCTTTCTTCTTTCTTGTTTGCTTGCCCTTTCTTTCTCTCCCTCGCTCTCTCCTTCCTTCCTTTGTATCTTTTTTCTTTCTTTTTTTGTTCTTCCCTGTTTGTTTGTTTGTTTGTTTTGAGACAGAGTCTCACTCCGTTGCCTAGACTGGAGTGCAATGGCGTGAGCTCGGCTCACTGCAGCCACACCTCCCGGGCTCAAGCGATTCTCCTGCCTCAGCCTCCAAGTAGCTGGGGCTACAGGCATGTGCCACCACGCCTGGCTAATTTTTGCATTTTTAGTAGAGACAGGGTTTCATCATGTTGCCCAGGCTGGTCTCAAACTTCTAGGCTCAAGCTTTCCTATAATAAAAAAATAGATTTTCCAACAGCATTAATAGATTAAAAATATAATAAGAAAATGTCCAATTTAACATAACAGAAATCTTCTTAAAACAAACTTAAGAAGTGCACAGGGCCAGTTGTCAAAAGAACTACAAACATTTAGTGAATTATAAAAATTAAGATGTGAATACAGAAGCATATTATTTTTCTTGATGGCAAGTTTCACTAACATATCAATTATTTCCTAATTTGTTTATAAGTTTAGTATAATTTCAATCAAAATATCTAATTGGGAACTTCATGAAATCATTCTAAACTGTGTTTAAAAAATTAAGAGGTAATAAGAGCAAGAAATATTGGAAGGAGATTATGAGGAGTATATTCTTTCAGATGTCTAAATGCATCATAAAGCTGCAATCAATAAAACAGTGTTAAGAATAGCACAACTATTCTTAATTTTCTAATCAGACGGGGATCTCTGAGCACTTCATAAAGAGCATAGCCTATGAAGAGATTACTGGACAACAGCCCAAGGGTAAGTTGAACAGACTTTTTTCTGATCATGACCTTCAGACAAATCAGATGGTGTCATACCAAAAGCACGCAAGTGCTATTCCTCCAAAATGATTCCAGTAGGAAAGGTGTAGGCACAAGCATATAAGGTTCTCATTCTTGATACCTCTGAGATCATTCAAACTAGATGGACTGCATCTTCTTCAAGCAATCCTCCCCTAATATTTCATACCAAAAGCACACAAGTGCTATTCCTCCAAAATGATTCCAGTAGGAAAGGTGTAGGCACAAGCATATAAGGTTCTCATTCTTGATACCTCTGAGATCATTCAAACTAGATGGACTGCATCTTCTTCAAGCAATCCTCCCCTAATATTTCTTTGCAGTGATTGTTTGCTAAATCATTAGGGAACTTAAGGCCAAGTTTATTTTCCTTTGCTGTGGAATAAAGATATTTGTGTGCATATATATATATATATATATGTAAGTGTGTGTGTGATTCATATATAAGATACATATGTATATAAACAATCAAGATAAGTGAAAGACAGGGCCTTTCAAAGGCCAAGGGACACACAGGCTACTTCCATACTTTTAAGTTTCCAGTAAATATAATAAAAGTGAAGAAATGGCAAAACCAGAGTTACCAAAACTTGTGGTATAAATTGGATTTATACGTTTAGTAAAGTAATGCTTTGAATCCATGCATGAAGCAATAACTGTGTGTAAAACTCATTTGGTGATAACATCCAAAATGAATTTTAGGCCTGATATGATTTGGATGT
The DNA here is from genome assembly GCF_000001405.40 of Homo sapiens. Classification (NCBI taxonomy): domain Eukaryota; kingdom Metazoa; phylum Chordata; class Mammalia; order Primates; family Hominidae; genus Homo; species Homo sapiens. The sequence continues at coordinate 101,447,221 of NC_000009.12, read as the reverse complement.
GTGACCCCTCCAGATTTCATGTTGAAATGTGATCTGCGATGCTGAAGGTGGGGCTAGGTGGGAAGTGTTAAATCATGGGGGTAGATCCCTCATGAATAGCTTAGCACCACTTCCTTGGTGATTAGTGAGTTCTCATTCAGCTAGTTCACTCAAGATCTGGTTATTTAAGAGTGTGGGACCTCCCCCTGCTCTCTCTTGCTCCCTCTTGCCATGTGGTATACTGGCTCCCCCTTTGCCTTCTATTATGACTAAAAAGCTTCCTGAGGCCCTCACCAGAAGCTGAGCTGATGTTGGTGCCATGCCTGTACAGCCTGCAGAACTGTCAGCTGAAATAAACCTCTTTTCTTTATAAATTACCCAGTCTCAGATATTCCTTTGTAGCAATTCCTTTTAGCTGTGTCCCCACTCAAATCTCATCTTGAATTGTAGTTCCCATAATCCCCATGTGTCATGGGAAAGACCTGGTAGGAGGTAATTGAATCATGGGGGCAGCTACCCCCATGCTGCTGTTCTCATGATAGTGAGTGCATTCCCATGAGATCTGATGGTTTTATAAGGGGCTTTTCCCCCTTTTGCTTGGCACTTCTCCTTGCTGCCATCATTTGAAGCAGGACGTGTTTGCTCTTCCTTCTGCCATGATTGTAAGTTTCCTGAGGCCTCCTCAGCCATGCTGAACTCTAAGTCAATTAAACTTCTTTTCTTTATAAATTACCCAGTCTTGGGTGTGTCTTTATTAGCAGCGTGAGAACAGACTAATACACAACCCAAACAGATTAACACAAAGCCTTTCTTGATTGTGAAGCTCAGACTCTCCCCTAGCATTGGTCTGATGAAAGTTAAGGAGCCAGACCATTCAGCCTCTACTCAGCAGACGACGACACACATGTGGAAGCTGATACAAGCATTGTTTTACTCCATTTCAAAAATTGTCTTTACTTTATTTCAAATGAATGCCTAAAACACCAGATACTTATAGTCTGTATATTACTAACCAAGTAGCTCTAGTCTTGGCTAGATTTCCTACATGCCTACGATAAAAACATTGATACTTACCTAATTTTAAGCAGTGTTATTCTTGATTTTAGCAAGCAAATGTGTAAGTGTTTTTCTTGTGTGGGCTTTGAGTTTTATAACCCAGTTTAAAGAAGGTGGATGTCTATTTAAAAAATAGCTTCAGGTTCAAAATCTCCTGTATCTTCCCTTGCCTTTCTTCCTGGCAATGATTAGCTAACAAGGCCAGTGTCTGTTCTGGTCATGTCTAGCTCAAGAAAACGAAATTACATCATCTGAGTATAAAGGAATTGTTGTCCTTTGTTAATTCTTCTCTGGTGTTTTCTTGTCTATTTCACCCCCAAAGTCACAGGGCAAAGGGGCAGGGGAGAAAACAGATATGTAGAAGGACTGCTTCTCATCACAGCTCAGCATCCAACTCCATCCTCCATTTCATACAAACACACTGTGAGTTCTATCTCGGAGCAGAAACACTCTACACATTCCCAACCTGTTTGCAGTTTCCTTATTTTGATTCTTCCCTGCAGTATCAGAGGAAAAGAGACTGCCTTTCCTCTGAACTCATTTATAGCATTCCCCTTTGCCTCTCCTGTGGCCTCACAACACAACCTTGGAATATACTTAAAAGAGAAACTAAAATTGTGATGCAATACCAAAAGTGCCGTTTAAAGAATATGGAACGTGTTAAAGGAAGAAAACGGTTTTTGTGAGTCAACTTGTTGCTAGCAGAGCAGATAACCCTGTACAATAGGCCAGTACATTGATCTGTTTGGAAATATAAAGTTTAAAGGTGAGTTGAAGACTGCTGCCCAGGGGAGAAAAAGTAACTCAGATCTCTGAGTGGAATTTGTGAGGAAATAGATGAGGAGGAGAGATGAGAAAGGAGAGAAGAGAAGCAGAGTTTGAAGCAGTGAATAGAACACACCATACATGGTATCTCATACAAGGTGTGGTATTTCAAAGGACTTCTACAAATAAGGATGACTAATGCTCAATTTTGTTTATTTTCTGTCTTCTTTTTCTCTTCCTATGATCAGTTGACAGGATTAAGGCTCAATTTTAAATTGATCTGTTGCCACCATGTAATTCCCATTTCTCTTTGTAAACTTTTAGTTATGTCTACATAAAGGCTTTTTGAAAGTGAAATTTTTGTTTGTTTGTTTGTTTGTTTTGGGGTTTTATGGAAATCAAATAAAGGGAACCAAATTTCCCATCATGGCACTGGCAGGGCTGGTACAAGGGTCTGCTGTGATGAGCCAGGTACTTGACTGAACTGAGTTAGTGAAATGAGAAGCTCTGAGCCAAGGTGACATTAATATTATAACTCCCTTGGGAAGTTCCCCCCAAATTAGGGGAAAGCATTGAACTTTCTGGAAGTTGTAGAATGAAGATTTGAGCCAGCCCTTTCTGTATCTAAAAAGACAAGGAGACCCCAGCTGAGATCTGAGCTATACATACCTATGTGTGATCCTGCTTTCTCTTCCCTATTAGACCTGAGTCAAAAGGGACCCTCACTTTTGCAGAATCTCTATAGGCAGCTTCCCTCATAGGTCCAGGATGGATAAGGGAGTACATGCATCTTGAGGAAGAAGATGTCAGAGACTATGCCTTTGGGGTTGGAGGAGGGGAGAGGGCACTGGAGAAATGACTGGCAAATTTACCTTCACACACTGTGAGCAAGAGGTAGCTGCTTGTTTTCTCTGACCACAACATCCCAGAATATAATTATTATATTTTTACTTATTCATTTACTTAACAGCTGTATGAGACATAATTTGCATATCATAAAATTCATCTATTTAAAGCACAAAATCCAATGGTCTTCAGCAGATTTACAAAGTCGAGCAAGCAGCTTCACTATCTAATTTTAGAAAAATGTTGTCATTCCAAAAGAAATCCAATGTACATTAGCAGTTACTCCCCATTCCCTCTGCCCTAACTGATCTAGGCAATACTAATATATTTTCTGTCTCTGTGGATTTGTATATTTTAGATATTGTATATAAATGGAATCATACAATATGTGAGTTTTTGTGCCTGGCTTTTCTCACTTAGCATAATGTGTTCAAGGTTCATCCATGTCGTATCTTGTATCAGTACGTCATTCCTCTTTATGACTCAATAATGTTCCATGGTATGGATATATCACATTTTGTTTATCCATTTGCCAGTTGATGAACATTTGGTTTGTTTCCTCTTTTTGGCTGTTATGGATGATACTGCTGTGCATACTAGGGTGTGTGTTTACGTGGATGTATGTTTTTATTTCTCTTGGGTAGATACCCAGGAGTGGAATTCCTGGGTCATATGGTAAAAAACATAATTATTTTTTAATAAATGACTGCCTTTCTATTCTTCCCATTTTTTTTAACTGACAGCTTTTCCATTCCTCCTTCGGATCAGAGGGTCTCTGTTCTCACTTGGCAAATGACCCAAAGAAAAGCCATTAAACGGAGTGGCAAAAAGAGCAGGCCCGCCCTGGGTCTGGGTAGGAAATAAATTGCAAGAGCATGAATACCCTCCTTTTCTCCCCTCCAAGGAAGCCAGGACATCTGCTGCCTGGTCATGATCACTGAGCATGCAGCCTCCTGCTGGAGTGCCAGCAATTGGACGAATTTTCCTGGGCTCCCTGCCACAGAGATAACTTGTTCCAGCCTCTTATTTACACCTCCATCTGGCACCCCAGTGGGGGATCTAGCACGCCTAAGAGTCAGCTGTGCCACGGAGGACAGGCGTGCTCTGGTGCAGGCCAGCCACACACCTTGAATGACATGGCGGAGGGGTGCTAACGAGGTCAGCTGTCTGCCTGCCTGGAAGGTTGGGTCTTCCAGCTGCCCGATCTGCTTCTAACTCAGGAAACATGGGTGCAAGGCCTTATCTCTTTATTTATCTTCCCTCCTTCATTCCTTTTTACACTTTCCACAAATAATATTGCCATTTTCTCTATTTTCCTCAAACGTGCTTCTACTTCTCTCCATCTTTTCTGAATGTAAGTTATACCCACCTTTGGTTTATGTAACAGGGGATGAAGTCTTTCTTTATTTGTAGCTCCCCACTGCCTTCTACAGGGGTACTCTTCTTGGATGCGAGTATACAACCTCTGAGATGAACTCAGGCTCCAGCTTCATTTTCTACATAATAAATGGAGAAATCTTTTGAGGGTGGAAGTGGGATGGAAGATTCCAGATGAAGGACACAGGAGATAATGAGATGAGATTGAATGCTGTGGGAGCAAAAATTTTGAAAGGACTTCTCTTTGGTGACAGAGGGAGAGAAGAATGTGGAGAATGTGGAAAGGAGAAAGGCATAGTGACAATGATCATCACAGGACGTGTTATTTATGTGGTACTTACCTTTGCTAGGTATATGCTTAACACTTTGATTCATTATTCAACCCAATCCTCCAACAATGTTGTAGGGTACGTTTTATTATTATTATTATTTTTGCTGAGGAGGAAACTGAAGTTCAAAAAGGTTAGAGAACTTTTCCAAAGTAACCCAGCCCAAAAGCTCTGGGCTGGAATTTGAAACAAGTTTGATCTGACTTCAAAGTCCACATTCTTAATAACTAAGTTATATTGGCACTCCAAGAAGGTTTATAGCTGAACCTTCTGAAGGGCAGAGAGTTGAATTTGTAGGTGACTGGATTAATAACCTGGGAAGCGGAGTGGCTCCATTCTTCACTTTGTGTGAGAGCAGGTGGCACTGAGGTGGCCACTGACAGGCCTGCCACCCGCACACGCTGCTGGCTGCTTGCCCCTTGCCAGTCTGGGACTTTTAGCCAGGCTTCCAGGAAAGTGTAGTTCTGGATTTGGTCAGGCTGGCATTCTTCATTCCTAAAGGGTGCTGAAGTGAGATGCAGGAAATCCAAATAGCTGGAGGAAAAGAGGCAGGATATTAGAACTACCTGTTTCTTCCATACATACCAGCATTCTGAAGATTTCTAGGTAAGAGTCAATAAATAATCCATACCAACAGCACTTCTCAACAGAAAACATTTCTTCTTCTTCTTCTTCTTCTTCTTCTTCTTCTTCTTCTTCTTCTTCTTCTTCTTCTTCTTCCTCTTCCTCTTCCTCTTCCTCTTCCTCTCCTTCTCCTTCTCCTTCTCCTTCTCCTTCTTCTTCTTCTTCTCCTTCTTCTTTTTGAGATGCAGTCTCGCTCTGTCACCCAAGCTGGAGTGCAGTCGCCTATCTCTGCTCACTGCAACCTCCGCCTCCCGGGTTCAAGCGATTCTCCTGCCTCAGCCCCCTGAGTAACTGGAAATACAGGCGCCCACCAACACACTCAACTAATTTTTGCATTTTTAGTAGAGATGCGTTTTCATTATATTGGCCAGGCTGATCCACCCGCCTTGGCCTCCCAAACGGCTGGGATTACAGGCATGAGCCACAGTGCCTGGCCTGAAAACATTTTATCTTCTAATCTATATTTATTATATTACTGTTTAAAATTATTTTCTTTTTTCTAGAGTAACCATATATCTCAAAAACACGCAATTTGGGCAGCAAAGACCACAGAATAGCACAGCTAGAAGAGACCCCCATTTTGCTGTATAGATAAGAATTCAAAGCCCTGGTTGGCTTAAGAGTCATAGATCTGTGTTTCAGTCCCTACACTGCTGCTTACTAATGGTGGGACCTTGGGGAAGATACCAGATCATCTCCCCCCTTTCCAAAACAATGCCTATGCTGCTGAGGTAGTGGAGATTAAATGACACATTCTAGAGCCCAGAAAAGTCTCCCTAATAGTACGTGCTCAACTAATGGGAATACGCTCCAGTGGGCAATGTCATCAAGGCAAAGCTAGGGCCAAAACCTTGTTTTCTGATTCTCAAACTTGTGTGTGCATGCGTGTGTGTGTGTGTGTGTGTGCATGTGTATGTGCACACACAGGCATCAGCTGTGTAATGCTCGCTTTATAATATTTTACACTTATGTAGGTCTTCGTAGTTTTCAGAGCACTAATTTACATGATATCGTTTGATCACCGCAACAACACAGTAAAATTAGGCAGTAGTGGTATTATCAGGCCACTTTACACGTTAGAGAAGGGAGGCTGGGAAAAGCTGACTTTGTTCAGCTCCATGGCCAGTCAACAGCAGAACTGGACTCAGCACCCACATACCTCATGCCTCCTTATCTAGAGATTTTTCCACCCTAGCAAAAGGCCATCTCACCTTAATGCCAAAGAGTTTTATGAAAGTTTTATGAAAGAGTTTCTGAAAAGTTGTTATAAGGAAGAGTGAAATAAATACTGTGCTGGGGGTCATAAATGACCTAGGTAATTAACAACCTGATTAGATAGGGAAAAACTGAACTTTGAGATGATTGAGCAAAAGACAAAGAGAAAACACTGACAAGGCAGTTAACAACCCAATTCAAAGACATATGGAGAAATGGGGGTTGGTGGACACTTCAGACCACTGTGTAACTCTTTCCTGTCAGCTAAATACTCGTCACTGAGTGTGAAATTATTTCCTGTTCACTCTGCCTCTGCAACATCCTAACTGCATGTCCATATTTCCTCAGACAAGGAAATCCTCCAGTTCTTCAACATACTTCAAGCATCAGCTTTACTCTTTAGTCAAAGGGGTATTTTTAAGCCCCACAATTTGGATACTATTGAATTTACTTACCCTGGATACTTGAATATACAAGGCACTCTAGTGTTCCTAGAATACACAGAGTTCAGATTTCTTAGTGATGAAGAGCATCTAAAAAAATTACCACAAGGAAATGAAATGGGACCCATGACTCTTTCATTCTCATATCTGCTGCACCCCAGTGGCTGTTGCTCCTGGACTTCATGGTGGTGCTTTAAAACTATTTATACCGTCAGATTTGGAGCATCTTAAAAACCTACCACATCTCTCTCACAAACTGACATCTAATACTCTGATTCTATGAACAGACTAAAAAAACCATTGGAGTGTACATTTTAAGTGGGTGAATTGTATCTATGTGAATTCTATCTCAATAAAACCGTAAAAGAATTGAAAGCAGAGTCTAAATAAAGATATTTGTACACCCATGTTCATAGCAGCATTATTCACAATAGCCAAAAGGTAGAAGCAACCCGAGTGTCTATCAACAGACGAATGGATAAACAAAATGCAGCATACAATGGAATATTATTCAGCTTTAAAAAGGAAGGAAATTCTGACACACACTACAATGTGGATGAAACTTGAGGACATTGTACCAAGTGAAATAAGCCAGACACAAAAAGACAACAACTCTATGATTTCACTTACGTGAGGTACATAGTGTAGTCAAATTGATAGAGACAGAAAGCAGAATGGTGGTTGCTAGGGGGTGGTGGGGAGGATGAATGGAGAGTTGTTGTTTAATGGTATAGAGTTTTAATTTTGCAAGATGAAAAGAGTTCTGAAGATTGGTTGCCCAACAATGTGAATACACTTAATGCTACTAATCTGAACACTTAAAAATGGCTAAGATGGTAAATTTTGTGTTATGTGTGTTGTACCAGAATTTACTGAAAGTAGGGAGGCTGTGGTTCTTGTGTACCATTGCAAGGCACTACAGCCTGGATTCCTGTGAAATTCCAAATGAGCAATGATAGAAGAGTTTTCAGAACCTAGTATAGTTTTAGAAGAAAGGAATGTTCATACTCTACTTATTATTTATTTCAAAGTTCTCTGGGATGAGAATTATAAGCCAGTTACTCTAGACTTTTCTGAGATTGATACTAATATACACCTATATTGATACTCATATATCTATTGATTCATTTATTCCACAAAAGTTGATTGGTGTCTAGGCATAGTGCTGGATAATGAGGAAACATTGGTAAGACATTACTACCCCCTACCCCCCTAGGTCTTACAGTCTGACAGATTGAATCAATTGACTTGGCCTTGTAAAAAATCTCGAATATTTGGGCTTTTCATAGGACTTTTCTTTAATGTTACTTCACACAGTCATCCATAAATGCTGCAGTGACAACAGCAGCAACAACAACAACAATCTCTTGGTGTTTTTATGTACATTCTTGTATTTGGTTTGATTTTATTTGATTCTCAACTTCAATCTTCTCTTCCTTTTAGAATGCAGGTTTCTTGAGAATAGGCCAGTCTTACTCACCTCGTATCCTCTAAAAAGTCTCCATAGCTAACAAAATGCCTTATACACATAACAGCAAAACACTTTTGAGAGCCATGCTGAGAAAACATAGCTCTATCTCTAGACCAAAGTAATAACTACTGATTTTGGGGTCCTGAAACTATTCCAACCACCAAAGCAGATTGCAATATGATAAGGAAATATCTGTACCACAGTTTGGAAAATATATTTTAAAATGCCAATCGTGATTCTTCCAGTTGCATTGTGTAATGTGGTCTCTTTTTATGAAAGTTCTTTCTCTATAATATTGCTAATTCTACAGTAAGTGTAACTCTATAATATGTGAGATTTATTTGCATGTAGAAGTTTGCTTATGACTCAGACCTCATGTTATGCATTAATAACACATTTATCTCATGGCCTGTGGATTGACTTATATAGATATCACATTCAAACCAGAAGAAATATCTAGAGTTGGGCAGGGAGTAGAGAATAAGCGAGGCTGTTGTTAGAAGTATTGACTGTAACGATCATGAATAGTATTGTTGTTACATTGCCTATTTTAAGATCCTACAATCAAAGGCCTCTAAACCAGTTATGCATTCAGATCTAGCTATTTAATGAAAACCTATTCTGTACAAAGTGCCACTCATATATTATTTCATTCATGCTTCATAATACATTTCTGATAGAGGCATTCCTAGTTCATTTTACAGATGGGGAAACTGTGGACTAAGGTTGAAGAACTTCCCAGTGTTTCACAGCCTCCAAGTCCAATGCTGTTTCCACATATAATACTCAATTTTGAACATTGTATTGTGTTAGGAGACTTAACAAAAATAAAAATAAAAACAAAAACCCTGCAAGCAGTGTATGTTGGTCAAGAGTTGCTGTTTCTCTAAGGTCCAGTAAGCCCTTAGCTTTGTTTTCCTGAACTTTGAGTTTCAGTTGCACATCAAGCCCCAGAGGTGGGCAAATGCTGATGCTACAAGAACAGCAGCAAGTGGCAGCACTCAGGGCAGGAGTACTCATGCTGTTCTGACATTCCTAGCCAGGCTGTTGTTCACATGGAGCCATGCCCAGCTCACCAAGGACACCTACGTCTGCTGACGCAAGTCATTCCTCCCTGATTAATGAAAGTTTAATGTCCAAGGTTATAAACTGCTGAGAAGGCAATAGGGAAAGAGCTAATTTATGAGTCTGCAGTTACCAAAATGTAAGCAGCTCTGCTTTAGATCACTGTCTTGGAATGAGACAAACTCTCCAGCTACCTGTACTGTGACTCTAGACAAGTTACTTGCCCTCTCTGAACCAGAGTTTTGTTATGCATAAAATGGGGGTAATAAGCGTTTCTTCAGAGAGTCGCTGATATTGGAGATAATTTATGAAAAGAACCAGGTACATCATAGACTCTCAAAAAAAGGATAGCTATTATTGTTGTATAACAAGAATAATTAGTACTAGTAGCATCTCTCAGCAGGTAGAATGTTTTAGCTATGGTTCTGACTACCCCAGCCCTGACTCCTAACAACTTTCATTACACCCACTCTCTATTCTTTCATCACCATCCACCTCTTGTTCCTCCATTCTCCTTTACCAAAAATCATAGAGGATGAAACCTCACATAGCCCCAAAGCTGGTCACATTGGTCTGACAAATATGGTAGCAGGTGCTTCAATGAGCCCAGTTGAAGATGGGGAAACCAGGAAATGTGCCATCAGATACTAAGTGGAGTCAAGGGAGCTGATAGGACCTTTCCCTGGTCTATCCCTCTACTATCCTCAGGACAGGGCTTGGTGGGAACTTCCCTAGCCAAATGAGCCTCAATATTGTGTTTCAAATACTTCAATTTCCTTCAATATTCACATTCAGTGATGAATACTTACTGTTCTCAGAAGCCTTTGTTTTCAGGAAAAACTTGATGGTGGCTGAAAACATGATGGCTCTGCTTGGAGGGAAATGCTTGTTTTCCTCTCTCTAAGTATAAATGCTCATTCACACCTTTCCTGGCTTTTTGAGAGGTGGCAAAATGCCCAAGATTGATTGCCAGTTACTTGTGTTACCTGAATGAGGCCCTTGTGAGTCTCTGATCTAGGAAAAACAACCAAAACTAAACCAAAACTCTTTTTAGATCACCTAGTTCCGTTTATTTTTTCCTTCATTTTGTTGACATTTCACCTTTTCATCCATAAATTCTGGTGTTACACTCTGCACAATCAAGCATCTTAGTTTTGTTTTCCATTTTATGAATTATTCCAGAGGAACATGTTCATGAGAATTTACCCTTTTTTGTAATTACGGTCATTCCATCACTTTTAGATTTCCCTCATTTATTTGCCTCATTCATCATTTGCCTCTGGAAGCATATAATATTTTTATTTACCTTTTCTGGAATTAAATTTGGGTTTCATACTTAGGAAAAAGCCCTGCAGAATGAACCCATACCCAGACAGTACCATATTTAGGGGTGTTGATGGCTTAGTTCAATCACTTTAATTCTAGTTTTTAACCAAATTTGAAGACAAAAGTACAAAGGTTAAAAGAGAATGGGAATACAAAACAATGATTTCTGGCATTAAATACATCAGAAAGCCCAGCTAGGTTTTGGAGGACTGGAGAAGATGGGAGAGACAATGATTTTTAAAAACAGAATGTTTTGAATTTTATTTCCAATTTGGACAAAATTCACACATGGGAAATTCAAGGATTCAGAATCAATTTCTTTTATTGAAAGATTATTTAAATTTAACTATAAATTATAGAATAAATTGTTGGAATTGACTACTAATGATATACTGAAGATAAATAATGAAAATATAGCATTGATTACCTAATTTGGAAATAATAATTCTTGAATGCCTACTGCGTACAGACACTATACAACTCACTTAATGCTCCTGTGAAATTGAGATCCCACTTTACAGAGAAGAAAATAACGGCTCAGACAAGTAAAAAACAAAACCAAAAACCCGTCACCAAGTTCATGTGTTTTGTAAGTGTTACAGCTACACTAACATTCTTCCTAGTATCATTTAATGGACCCTAGAGCTCCATCATTGACTAGCTGTATGACTTAAGGGAACCTCCTTATCTTCCTTGCCTTAGTTTCCTCATCTGTGAAATGGAGGGTCTGGATTAGGAACTCCACGGTCTAAAGACATTCCTTGCAGCTTTAACATTCTATGAGCATAAGGAGTATATGGGCATGATTTTAAGGACTGGTTGTTTATGAGCCAATCAGAGGTGTTGAATAAACACCTCCCTACTAGGTCAAGGTAGAAAGGGGAGGGCAAATATTGGAAAAAAAAAACATGATGAGAAGTCTATAAAAATTGTGTGCTACCAAAGATCTGTCTTATTTGGCAGCTGCTGCCTCACCCACAGCTTTTGATATCTAGGAGGACTCTTCTCTCCCAAACTGTAAGTAAAAAAGCTTCCTTTGTATACCTGGACAGCACCAGTGAATAAGGGGTTAATAATACTACTAAGCTTATAGAAGGGAAGATTGGTTTGCCTTTGTTTTCGGGAAAAACTTGATGGTGGCTGAAAACATGATGGCTCTGCTTGGAGGGAAATGCTTGTTTTCCTCTCTCTAAGTATAAATGCTCATTCACACCTTTCCTGACTTTTTGAGAGGTGGCAAAATGCCCAAGATTGATTGCCAGTTACTTGTGTTACCTGAATGAGGCCCTTGTGAGTCTCTGATCTAGGAAAAACAACTTGAACACTCCTATCGTTAGGTTCTAATCAGTTTTTGAGATTCCTGTTCATTTCAACTCTCAACTCTCTTTTCATAACAACTACTTATTTTAGTGATTTATTTACATATCTACTGCCTTATGTCATTTTCTACATTCTCTTCCCACACCTACTGGTACCGACACTGAAGTTTCTTTGTCACAGAAACAAACCCTTGGAGTATTTTGCCCTTCGCCTTCACCCACTGCTCAAATGAGGAAATGCAACAGGGTTGGAAACTTCACAGAGCATAGTCATCATTTGATTATGAATTTCCAAACCCTTCATGTTTGACACTTTCTAGAACATTTCCTGCTGGCCCCAGACACTGTGAAGACCCTACAGCTTAAGATAGTAGGAATCAAAAGGTTGTGTATTTTGATACATTTGCTCTACTATCTGAAAAATAGGCATTGTGAGAATATGTTGCCTTTTTAAAAAATAACTTCTCTTTAAATAGTTACCTAGGGCTCCATTAGACAATTTGGATGCACCAGAGCTTGAACTCTGCTACCCTGCTATTCATCACTTTAGCTAAGGCACATCTGGGTAGCACCCAGGCCCAGGTTAGAGCCAGAGATACTGGGGCAGGGAATGGGGAAATGTTGAATATCTAAGAGGTCCTTTGGCTTCATTCCAAGTTTAGAGGAAAGAGCACCATTCAGGACTCGTTCTGGGCTGCTCCGCGTGTGTTAAAGGGCACTGGAAATCAGGCTGTCCTAGGACTGCCCTAGATCATCCCACTGCACTTGTCACTGGGACATTGGGGTGGATAATGAAGCTATTGGCAGCTTTAAGCATCATGTACAAAAGTGCTGCATGCAGTGCCTAGAAATCATGGGCTATCAATAAATAAGCCTCCTCATATTTGCCTTAAAAATCCATTTGTCTTGTACATAGAGAAGCAAATGAACTTTCTGCTGCCTTCTATTTCTCCAGGAATTAAATATCCATGTTACAAATAATTATGTTTTCACAGAACATCTTCAAGGAAGGCAGAAAGAACCATACCATAGGATTCTACCTGCTATTTTGCTGAAGGATTAGAAATAGAATTCTAAGTCATAAGCCAATAGGATGTAACTTGCAATCCTAGAACATCACAACTTAGAAGGCACATCAGACATAGTCTCTCTGGCTTTAGTTTCCTCATCTCTAAAGTGACAGGGTTGACGCAGGTATCTCTGAGGTCATTTGTAGCTCTGTTTTTCTGTGGTTACCTTCTGTTGTTAATACAACTTTCCTCCAGATTTATATACATATTACTTGTTACACATATGTAATAAAGTGCGTGATAAAGAATGTATAAAATGAAATGTGGCCGGGTGCAGTGGCTCATGCCTGTAATCCCAGCACTTTGCGAGGCCAAGGTGGGAGGATCGCGTGAACTCAGGAGTTCAAGACAAGCCTGGGCAACATAGCAAGACTTTGTTTATACCAAAAATAAAAAAAAAAATAGCTGGGCATGGTGGCAGGCGCCTGTAGTTTCAGCTGCTTGGTGTCTGAGGTGGGAAGATCACTTGAGCCCAGGAGGACGAGGCTTCAGTGAGTCATGATTGTGCCAGTGCACTCCAGGCTAGGCAACAGAGCAAGACTCTGTCTCAGAAAATAAAAAAGAAAGAAAGAAAAAGAAAAGAAATGTGAGAATCTCTCCACCCTACCCCATTCTTCAGAGGTAACTCCAGAGTTGTTACTCTTTGTTTATATAGACACAAAAACAGTATGGGTATATATCATTTTTTAATTAAAAAATAGGAGGACAGTATATATTGCATACTTCTCTGAAACTTGTTTTTCATTTAATAATATAATGTGAACAACTTCCATCACACTGAAAAAAGTTGGCTTGAGATCTGAGAGAGCAGAGGCTTAGGAGTACGGAAATCGTTCTTTGTCATTACCCATCCCAGGTTGTCCTCCTGTCTCCTTGTGGTGAACATTGGCCTGTGACCCTGTTTTATGATTAACAGAGAGGTGACATTTGTGCTAACGTGGTACAGACCTTTAATCCCACTGTAGAAGTTTAACTCCCTGTAAACAGTATTAGTTTGAATTATCATTTTCACTGTTATTCTGGTTGAGTCAGCATACCCAGATTGAAGAAAATAGTTTAGTAATAGGCAGTAAACAGAAAAATGGAGGTCACTTAGGTGATTTTTTTCATTAAAAAAAGAGAATTAGTAATACATTGCATTTTATAGTGCTTTGTAAAGAATCTTCATGTTTATCATGCAATTTAACAAATATATTTTGAGCAACTACAATGAGCAGGGTGCTCATAGATGGCATTTGAGTTACCTGGCAAAGAGACAACCAGAACAGTTATTATCACCATTTAATCCATAGTAAACTGAGACTCAGGAAGCTGCCTGACTTGCCTGAGGTTCCAGCTAGATTAGGCAGAGCTGGTTCTTAAAACTAGGTCTGTCTGATCTGCTAGCAGCAAACCTCTACATAAATGTGTCAGATGTTTATGAATAAGTAATGTCCATGGTGTAATCACCCACAGCGTAAGGTACTCTGGGGTGTCATCAAGGACATTAGGAGTCATCCAAAGGCCATTTTTTTCATCAAGCTCACTCTTTCCCTTGAATGGAAAGGAGTACTGCCCCTTATCTCAACTTGATGCCTTATTAGCTATTTGTCCTTGGATAAATAATTTACACTCTCTTATATTCTTTCCTAATCTATTAAATGGGAGGGGAAAAGAGCCCAACCACCTTCTGGGATTATTTTCAAGAAAAATTATATAGTGCATGTAAAGCCATTAGCAGAGTGCTTGACAATACATGATCACTTGTTGTTATTATTATTATTGGGCTGATTTTCCCTTTTGTTTCATTAAGAAAATATCTTTCTTTCTTGGTAATTGTCAACTCCTTTGTACAAATGCCTAAACTGAGAGAGAAAGTTTGCACCTTGCTCTGAAGATCACACCCAGGTTGGCTTTTTTCAGCATGATGATCTGGAGGCCAGGTCCAAAGCTAAAAGTCTTTGACTCCAATATTACAGCTAATATATAAACAGGGCAAACATGCTCTGCTGGTGGCTGGGACATAATGGGCCTTAGAAGGTCATCTTCTCTAGAAATTGTTGCCCACTAGCTTGTCCTATTACCCCAGTAACAGCATTGCAGTTTCATTCTTTTGGGGTAAGACAAGAACCTCTGTTGAAATGGAGAGGCAACAATGAGATCATCAGTTATACCTTCTCATGAATTAGCTCAGTGGCTACTGACTTTTTATATCAAGGGACAGAGTACTGACAGCCTACCCTGAAGGGATGCAGAAAATGTGGAGAAATATATTTGTCATGAGGACAGGACTGGATAGGGACTCTGCTTCATCCTAGCTGGGACCTTGAACAAGTCAGTTAGCTTCTCTACGTCTTAGCTTGCTCATTAATTAATGAAGATAATACCTGCTATAATTACCTCATTGCCAATGGATCAGATGAGACCTGAGGTGTCCCTGGGCTTCCGGGAAGTAATATGTAGACATGGAGCATCCACCCTGTGCTGAGTGTATTGGAGGGAGAGAAGATTAGAGAAAGGAGGAGACCCTGGCATTGGATAGGAAGCTACCCAAGATAATCTTCATTACCATTTTTTCTTTGGTAGCCCAACCTATGCAAAAAGCACTCTTTGTAACACCCAAAGTGAGGGCTCTTTGAGCTTGCATTTTCAAGATTAACCCAAAGTGGCATCCGAACAGGGGCAACGATCTCCTTCAGAGCACAACCACTGTGGAGGCTGCTTGGTTAGGGGGTCTTCAAGCCAGAGTCTCCCCTTGCTAAAGCAGTGAAGCTGGAGCAGGGACTGCCATACAACTTTAGCATCCTCATAGGCAGTGAGAAACCCAAGCCCAGAGGCACTTAGGAAACATCCTCTCTGGTCTGCCCCAAGTGGTTTCATAGAGGGTTGAATATAAGGAAAAGGAAACTTGCACCCAACCCTCTGTAGCCCGAGGCCAAATGGAAGTTAGCTTTAAGACTATGTATAGATTTCTCCTTTCAAGTTTGTTTCCTGGAGAATAATCTGTTGGAACTACAGACTAACAGAGCAAAGCAGAGGATAACTGCAGAGGTCAAGAGCGACATTGTCCTGGCCTCAAGCCATTAAGGAAATCCAGTGGCACCAGGAGTCCACAGAATAGAGAGACAGTCCATTACTGCAGTCCCCTCTATTAGTCATATTTTAGTGGGTCACTAATTAGCTGGTTCAGTGTTTTGATTAGTGATTCCAAAGGCCTGCTGGAAAGCATTCTGTCTAGGATCACCATGAACATTCAGTAACCCACCTTCATTCATTGCAGCTAATTGCAACTAATAAGTGATGGGGGAAAAACAAACCTCATTTGCTTATCCACCTGTGGAAATGGGTCAGAGGTGTCACAGAGGTCTGCACAGCATGTCTGCACCCCCAACTGTCTTGGTCATGCATCCATCTGAGCCACCCATGGTTCTGTGCACAACTCTCGCACACTCTTTTCCAGACCTGTCACCATGGCCCACCGATTTCCAGCCCTCACCCAGGAGCAGAAGAAGGAGCTCTCAGAAATTGCCCAGAGCATTGTTGCCAATGGAAAGGGGATCCTGGCTGCAGATGAATCTGTAGGTGAGTGTAAAAAGCAGTCTCATCATATAACAACATATTATTTTTTCTACACTTAGCAAAAACAACTTGATAATCATATTCTTTATGGAAGTAAAGGTTTATGTACACGGGAGTGGGAGCAGAAGACTCAGTAAGCGTAGAGCTTTTGAGTCCTGTAAGTAGTAGGCACATTCCTGAAAGCCAAGGAAAGAGGCTCAAGCCCTTCATTTTAAGCCAGGGGTCATTTGAATCCAGCCTTGTAGTAAGGCCAGAAACTTAGTAACTAGCATAAGGTCAGATACACAGGCATCTGCTACTAGTGAGAAGTCAGTTTAAAGTCAGTTTAAATTCAGTTGAGTCAAGAAGGGCAGGAAAGTATCTGCATCTGGAATAGGACAGGGCTTATGGATGGGAGAACCTCAGGATGGCACAAGGGAGAGCTGTGGCAGAGTTGCACAGCCTGCCATAAAATCACAGAACCCTGAGAATCAAGAGCATGCCCCATCCCTCCTTCTGCATGTACATCCAGCAAGACTGAGGACCAGATCAGGGAGGCTAGAGAGGCCTGAGGGCCTTCCATATCCACCTGGACCTGAGGGTGGCTTCCACCCTGACCTCTATATGCCCAGCCCACATACTCCCTAACTAGCCACCTGAGAGCAACCAGGGTCTTCTCCCTGGAACACAAAAAATTGAAGCAGGAGCTTTGACTATCTGAAAAAAGAAAGTCTTGCTTTCCACTGTGGTGAGGGTCTCTGAGATGATGTGGAGAAGGGTGACAGGAAAGCCCTGGCTTGCTCCTTATGCTGCCCTTGGCCCTCCCACCATAGGTACCATGGGGAACCGCCTGCAGAGGATCAAGGTGGAAAACACTGAAGAGAACCGCCGGCAGTTCCGAGAAATCCTCTTCTCTGTGGACAGTTCCATCAACCAGAGCATCGGGGGTGTGATCCTTTTCCACGAGACCCTCTACCAGAAGGACAGCCAGGGAAAGCTGTTCAGAAACATCCTCAAGGAAAAGGGGATCGTGGTGGGAATCAAGGTGAACACCTCCATTCACACCTCACTTCTGCTTTGTCCTAGGCAAACTCCAAGCACACTGGCAAGGACAGGGCCAACACTCTGAACATTCTCCTCATCAAATTTCTCTTCTCACCCTTTTCCATCGTCATCTTCCCACAGAGAACAAGATCCTCTTCTAGAGTTTTCCTCCAGTGCCCTCTTCTTTCACTCAAATTTTCTACACGTTCTTAATCTCTTTGCATCTCAATCTCATTTCTTAAAATGGGAATCTACCTCATGATGTTCTTACAGGGATGAAATGACTAAAAGTTTCTAGGCTGGACGTGGTTGCTTACTGCTGTAATCCCAGCACTTTGGAAGGCAGAGGCAAGAGGATCGCTTGAGCTCAGGAGTTTGAGACCAGACTGAGCAACACAGTGGGACCTTGTCTCTACTAAAAATCAAAAACATTAGCCAGATGTGTTGGTGCATGCCTGTAGTCCCAGCTACTCAGGAGGCTGACGTGGAAAGATTGATCACCTGAGCCCTGGAGGTCGAAGCTGGAGTGAGCTATGGTCATACCACTGCACTCCAGCCTGGATGACCCTGTCTCAAAAAAAAAAAGAGTAAGATCCTGTCTAAAAAAAAAAAAAAAGAAAGAAAAAAGAAAAGAAAAAGTTTATATTGCGTAATTATTGTTAATGGTAACTATCATAATTATTGAAGCATTTACTATTCTATCTTATAACTAGGTCTTCCAATAGTGCATAAACTTCTCAAAAGTGAAAACTAGTATCCATTGAATAAGAGTTTTTACCATTCCAAGCATTCATTTAATTCTCATAACCTCTGGTAGTAGACTCAATTATTACCCTTATTTAGAGATGAAGTGAGAAAACTGAACTACGAAGAGTAACATAACTTGCCCACACAACAAGGCAAGGTCAGAGCCAGTTTAGGCTAATTCTCAAGCTCATGACTTTTGCCTTTGCTATGTAGAGAGTAGAGGTTGTATCCTTAATTCTCTTTACCTCCTGTACTAACACAACACCTGGTGCATGCAGGTGCTCAATAAATGTTAGGGTAGACACTCTCACAGTGTACCTTCTAGGTAACTTCCCTTCTGCTATGGACTGAACTGGGTCCCTCGCACTAATACACTTTACTAATTCAACTCCTTGATCTGTAAAAGATGCAAACTGTTAGTTAGTTCAAGAGTTCTGCTTGTGTTTTCCTGACATCTGACACCTGTTAATTATTTGTATCCACAGTTAGACCAAGGAGGTGCTCCTCTTGCAGGAACAAACAAAGAAACCACCATTCAAGGTAAGGATATTGCCCACTGAGATGAATCATGCCAGTGTAAGCTAGAAATGAAGGCAAGTAAAGAAGGAAGCAAGGAAAAACAAAACACAACTATTACACTGGTCTTAGAGCCACACGTACCTGGTTTTCAATACCAGCTCCTCCATTTAACAACTGTGACCTTGGGCCAGTCACTGAAATATTGTGAGCCTCAGTTCTCCTATCTCAAAATGGGGATTTCTCAAAATGTTGTGGGGATTAACTTAGACAATGTACATAAGGTGCTTACCACAGTACCTTGGACAAAGAAGATTAAACTCTGCACCCGGAAGTATTATTTTTAGAAAAAAATTAGCAGCAGTAGAGTGGAAAGTCCCCACACTTTGAGGTCAGACACACCTGGGTTTGAATCCTGGTTCTATCACATGCTACCTAGATAATTTTGCAAGGTACTTCTGCCCAAGTAGACAAGCATTAACTCACAACATTGGGTTAGCTAAGCAGAATTTGAATCCCAGCTCTGTCACTCTTGAGCAATTCAAACTTGGTAAAGTTGCTTAACCATTAGGAGCTTCAGTTTCCACCTTTGTAAAATGAGTATCATATTAACTATTGGTTTCTTCTATTCTATATATGGAGTAGATAGTATGTATGTCAAAACACTATTTATTAAATCTAAGTCTTCTGGTTCAGTGTTGTGATTAATGCTGATATGCTTGGCTGTTTTCAATCCTCAAGCACAGTGGATTGAAAGCTAAGCAAAGGGAGAACTCCTTCCCTTTATTAGAAGCCCCATGGATCAGGTACAAAGGTACAAAGAAGCCTTTCTCTCTTTTGTGACTTGCAGGGCTTGATGGCCTCTCAGAGCGCTGTGCTCAGTACAAGAAAGATGGTGTTGACTTTGGGAAGTGGCGTGCTGTGCTGAGGATTGCCGACCAGTGTCCATCCAGCCTCGCTATCCAGGAAAACGCCAACGCCCTGGCTCGCTACGCCAGCATCTGTCAGCAGGTGCTCTGCCTTCCCCTTGGGCTGAAAAAGAGTAGGCTAGAGTTTTCTTCAGAGCTTTTCTTTTCAATTATACTATAACTACAAATGGACCTCCTTTTCCCTCACCAGTATATCCTAGTGGCATTTTTCACAACTTTTGCTATAGCCAACTGTGGTAGGGAAAGATTTGGTCCCACAAGCCAGTAGGAGTCCAACTAAGCTATGAGTTCAAAGGATAATGCCATCAACTGCTGCCCTCTGTCAAAGCTCCATAAGCTGTCTTATAAGTGATCGGGCTTTTGAGGGCAGGGAACTTGGTTGTCTATACTCCGTAACATCCAAGACATGATCCTCTTAGATTCCTAGCTGAAGAGTGACAGCTCTGACCGAGTTCCAATCCAAATAATTCTTTGGAGGATGGTGACCAGATGCTAAAGTTTCCAACACATACTAAAATGTCTCTGGGTCCGAGTTAAGTTTGATTTTCTTCTGTGAGTACTATGTTGGGGTTACTAGAGTTGTGGACAGCTGGAGATCCCCAATTAGAACTCTAAACACTGCTTGAATTTCTTCATTAACCCAACTTAGAGACATCTTTCTTAATGATTTATGCTTAGATGCCCTAAAAAGGCAGTAGCTAGGTTCTGAGGCAGCTAGAATAATCTCTAGAAAGAAATACAGTAATTACGGGTTTGTATTTATTTTTTATCTCATTCTGAAAAATTCTACTGTCTTTAAGTCATCTATGTAGTATTTCTCCATAATGGCTTCAATTTATACCAATTGCAACTGTTGAATCTCCTCCTAAGGAAAGGATAACAGTGAGCACAGCTTCACTTTTGCTTCCTTGATTTTCCTTTTTAGAATGGACTGGTACCTATTGTTGAACCAGAGGTAATTCCTGATGGAGACCATGACCTGGAACACTGCCAGTATGTTACTGAGAAGGTAAGTTTTAAATATGAAGGCCCCAATTCTAGTTGAAAAATCTTAGTTTTAGGTAACAGCTGTTACTTAACATATAACAGCTGTTATATCTGAAGTAGCCTTTAGGATGGATAGCATAGAGAAGGTAGGGAGGTGCTCATCAGCCCTTCACCTTTTTGGCACATGGTATACTCCATATAGAAAAAGCACAGGAGTTGCAGTACCAAGACTTGGGTTGGAGAATCCGCTTTTCCACTTGTGGGATCTTGGGCAAGTCATATTATCTCTTTTGACTTCAATTCAATTACATGTACACAAAGAAATTTTAAAATAAGACATGTGGCTCAAATGAGAAGATGTAATTAGAAAGTACTTTATTCCATCTGACTTTCTAAATTAGCCACAGTGGATCTGAAAGAGGGTGGTTCTATTCATACACTGTGAGAAAGTAGGAGAGTCATAATGTCACCTGACCTTAGTTTCTCTACTTGGAAAATTATGTGGACTGAAATGCAATCTAAGAGCACTTCCACCTCTAAAATGTATGATTCTATGACTACTCAGCTTCTGTAAACATGGACAGTGGAGGCCCGTTTAGATGACCCCAAATAGCTAAAGCAATGCAGTCTCAATAAGGAATGACATTGACCAAGGGAGTAATGGAAATAAAGGAATGAAGGGCTTCTAGGAAGCAGAGCCATGCCTGTCATTCATGCAGTGAATGAGAAGCTAGATTAGGGGTGATGAAGACAGGCCAGTTTAGTTGTGCTCAGTGGCTATGGATTGCAACACATTGGTCTAATGAGGCCTGGAGATTGGTTCAGAAGCTTTTGCCAAGCAACAAATAAGAATTCCTTCATCCTGCCTCCCTGCAGTGTAAATGTGCCAAGGTCAAGTGGCTCTATGACTAGCTTTGAGTTTCACCTGGTGGGACCTCTTGTCCTTCAGGTCCTGGCTGCTGTCTACAAGGCCCTGAATGACCATCATGTTTACCTGGAGGGCACCCTGCTAAAGCCCAACATGGTGACTGCTGGACATGCCTGCACCAAGAAGTATACTCCAGAACAAGTAGCTATGGCCACCGTAACAGCTCTCCACCGTACTGTTCCTGCAGCTGTTCCTGGTAAGGCCTTCTTTCTTCTCTAACTCAAGGTCTTAGCCCTCATTCTTTGGAGAGCCACAAGCTTTCTGTTTGTCCAGAAATCTGCTTCTATTCATGAAACAAACCTCTGTTATCTCACAGGCAGCCAGCACTTCTTCTCCCACTTCAGAATACCAAGCATCCCAAGTCTGCCCAAATGCCCACAATCCATGTATTTCTTCAACATTTCACTGCCTTCCTTACGTATTTAAAGCACTTATCTCTAGCCCAACTAGCTTCAGCAAAAGCAAACTGATTTCTCAGTTTGCTTTAAGGCAAATTAAGCAGAGAAAAGACTGAGACATTACTTTTCTGGTAGGTTCATTGCTTGCTTTCTCAAGCAGGGTATATAAGGTGGGACTAATAGAGTGAAATGGCTTCTCTCCTACCAGGCATCTGCTTTTTGTCTGGTGGCATGAGTGAAGAGGATGCCACTCTCAACCTCAATGCTATCAACCTTTGCCCTCTACCAAAGCCCTGGAAACTAAGTTTCTCTTATGGACGGGCCCTGCAGGCCAGTGCACTGGCTGCCTGGGGTGGCAAGGCTGCAAACAAGGAGGCAACCCAGGAGGCTTTTATGAAGCGGGCCATGGTAAGATGCTGCCACCTCTTATCTACTTGATGATGTTCACATTTGGGGCTTGACTTTCCAACACGGAGAAGCATTGTTTTCTTTGGGCCAAGAAGGTATCTACCGATAGTGTCTATTAGGCATTTGAAAATGTGGCAGTAGAGGTCAGTATGAGGATTGAGGCTAGAGAGAATTTTGAATTATCCACACTAGAGTATAGTTGATGACAGGAGACTGAAGGACAATTTCAACAGAAACACTTCAGAGGGAAGGAGATAAGAGGACCAAGAACTGAACCTAGGATACTTTTTATTTTGGGAAGATGAAGAAGAGAAGCAACCAAGAAAAGCAGCGATTATATTGTAGGGTGAACCAAGCATTCTGGGAATAAAGACAGAAGAATTTCTTTCTTTCATGTTTATTTGTTTGTTTGTTTGTTTGTTTTGAGATGGAGTGTTACTCTGTCACCCAGGCTGGAGTACAGTGGCACAATCTCGGCTCACTGCAACCTCCACCTCCTGGATTCAAGCAATTCTTCTGCCTCAGCCTCCCAAGTAGCTGGGACTAGAGGCATGCGCCACCATACCTGGCTAATTTCTGTATATTTTAGTAAAGATGGGGTTTCACCATGTTGGCCAGGCTAGTCTCAAACTCCTGACCTCAGGTGATCTGCCCACCTCAACCTCCCAAAGTGCTGAGATTACAGACATGAGCCACCACACCCAGCCGGGTAAACAATTTCAAAGGGCCAATAATAACATGCTATAGAGAGATTCAAAAGAAAGGCCAAGAAAAGACCCTGAGATTGGCATTTAGGAGCATACCAGTGACCCTCACTGAAACAGTTTCAATAAAGAGGAAAGGAAAGGTGCCCACTCAAGAAGTTTTTCAGAAAAAGACCCAGAAAGGTTGCCAGGAGAAATGAGGACCAACAAAGTTTTTATTCAAATAATAACCAAAATTTTTAAAATACGCTTTATGAGCCAAGAACTGGGGTGAACAAATGAGACATAGCCATGTCCTCCAGGAAGCTTGGAGTTTAGCCAAATAGGAGAGAGCTTGGCATGTTTAAATGTAAAGAAAGAGGAGCCAGAGGAGACAGTAAAGATGAGGAGAGTGGGGATAATTGAGTGGAGAAGAACTTAGAGGAGCAGGACTGCATGAGACTCAATATTAAGCATAGGTGGCACAGCTGGTGTAAGACAAAAAGGAGGGAAGAGGCAGAAAAGAGAATACAGTTGGAATCAGCTCTATATAAGTCAAGAGATGTAGCAGTTGATGACTGATTACAGTTGAGGGTATCTGCTGAGAATGATGAAGAAATGGAAATTTCAATACTGACAGTCGGAAAGCGTAGAAAAGCAGTTAAAGGAACTTGCTAGGAAATTGATCGGACGTTATGGCCAGACATAGCCAAGCATCAGGTAATGTGCAGCTGAAATAAGAGTGAGTGTGTGGTAGCTTCATTCCTGAGTTTTCCTAACAGCAGTCTAAAGCATGCAGGAAGATTCAGAACGCAAAATAGCGGGGTAGAAGAGTGAAAGTTTAATAGGAAGGTAGAAGAGTGACAAATTTTACCGATAGCCTCTGTTAGCTTGCTGACCATAGAGGAAGCTAGGCAAGGAATCAAGAGTAGTCAGAAGTGTGGTGATGAGGCCCTAAAGGGAAGGAAGGCCCCAGGGAAGCTAAATCATCATCTCACAGGCATAAGAGAGGTATCAGATTTTCAAAGTAGTGCTTTACCTTGACTGTGGAAAGCAGGGTGCAGCAGTGCTGCTGTGTGGCTGATGGACTGAGGAGACCTAGCTTACATGATGGAGGGATTGTGAAAGCGCAGGTCATCAGGGACATCCACACAGAAGAAGGGAAGCTGAGTTTATCATCAAGGATGGTGCTTCCCAAGCTCCAGTGTGGATCTGAATCACCTGAAGGTGATTTTGGTTTTGTTGTCATGATCTTTTATATTTACACACAATAATTGTATAGATCTGTGGGGTATCTGTGATTTTTTATATATGCATATAATGTATAATGATCAAATCAGGATAATTAGGGTATTCACTCCAAATATTTATTATTTCTTTGGGTTTGGAACATTCCAAATCTTCTCTTCCAGCTATTTTAAAATATGTAATAAATCATTGTTAACTATAGTCATCTTACTGTTGTATCAAACACTAGAACTTATTCCTTCTGCCTAACTGTATTTTTGTACCCATTACCAACCTCTTTTCATTTCCCCTACCCCCACTTGAAGCGCTTGTTAAAAATGCAGATTATGGGTCTCACCCACTGAGTTTCTAATTCAGTAGGTCAGGGGTAAGGCCAGGGAATTTCTATTTTTAACATGTTCCTAAGGGATGCTGGTAGACCATGAAACACAGTTGGAGAACCATTGATGTAAAATGTAGAAATAAGTCCTGGAGAGAACAGACAATAGCAACACTGACTGGAAGAAGTGGTACCACTGAGTGACATTCAAATATTGTCGTAAGTTTCATAATTCTGAATTTATCTTTAACTGGAATGTATACAGGAAAGCAAATGATACTACAATAACTAAATAAAAATTACATATTCTTCTAGACCAATATAGGTAGAAAATGGAAATGTTTTTAAAATAAACATGTTTTTCTTTTGGTATAGTGTACTATACTAGTGAGAAATTTTTCAACTTTAGTTTCTAGTACTGTTGCTGCAATATTGTTGGTACTGAACAGAGATTTCCCCAGTAACTGACACAAACCTCAAGCTTACCAAAGAAATGCTCAGAAAACTGGGATAAAAAGGGGAGATACTTTATAGAAGGGGATGGTATCCCCAGCAATATTCAGCAACATTGCTGTAAAAAGAAGAAAATCTGAGTGAAGGTTTGACTGGTTTCCCATGAGAGGCAGACAGGGTCAAGGTGGGGTCACATTTACTCTAACCAGTCTCCTCTCTCATATTTGTCTTCTAGGCTAACTGCCAGGCGGCCAAAGGACAGTATGTTCACACGGGTTCTTCTGGGGCTGCTTCCACCCAGTCGCTCTTCACAGCCTGCTATACCTACTAGGGTCCAATGCCCGCCAGCCTAGCTCCAGTGCTTCTAGTAGGAGGGCTGAAAGGGAGCAACTTTTCCTCCAATCCTGGAAATTCGACACAATTAGATTTGAACTGCTGGAAATACAACACATGTTAAATCTTAAGTACAAGGGGGAAAAAATAAATCAGTTATTGAAACATAAAAATGAATACCAAGGACCTGATCAAATTTCACACAGCAGTTTCCTTGCAACACTTTCAGCTCCCCATGCTCCAGAATACCCACCCAAGAAAATAATAGGCTTTAAAACAATATCGGCTCCTCATCCAAAGAACAACTGCTGATTGAAACACCTCATTAGCTGAGTGTAGAGAAGTGCATCTTATGAAACAGTCTTAGCAGTGGTAGGTTGGGAAGGAGATAGCTGCAACCAAAAAAGAAATAAATATTCTATAAACCTTCAGCTGCTATCGGGTTTCACTTTTCTGCTCTTGCTGTCCAAAGACTCAGTGTATTTCATTACTTTTGACTCTACTAGACATGACTGGGTTTCAACAGTAAAGGTCTTCAACTCTTGCTAGTCATTGGAATCAAGCCGCAAAATTTTAAAAACTGAGATGCTCAGGCCACACCCCAGCTCAATTAAATCAGAAACCCTAGACTTGGGATCCTCTAACTATTAGATTTCTTAAAGCTCCCTCAGTAATTCCAATGTACAGTCAAGTTTGAGAACTACCAATCTAAATTTCAAGTTTGAGGGTATTTGAAAATTAAAGCCATTCACAATACGAAGCCAGCTAAAAATGTAGAATGATTTTGAGCAACTTGTGGAGTATAATAAGAGAATTAATGTGACTTCAATGCTTGGAGCATTCTTGTTCAAGTGGCCCAGGTTTGGTGAAACAGGACTACCTTGTCATCTGCACGTCCAGGCATATTTCGTAGTTTTGCAGTAAATAATATTCACATAATGATACTGTATTGACTTTCAATTTTCAGAATTAACCTATAGTTACAGCACTTAAGACAACCAGAGTTATAAAAGAGAATTTAAATATTATAACTTTGGACAATATAAAAGTGATGATTTAACTGACAGAAGCTAGGAAATATAAGGGGGAGGAGAAGTGGAAGAAAGCAAAGAGAGTCAGGAATACTACTTAAAACTGATGGGTTAAGAAATAGTGCTTTAATTCTATTTAAGTAATAAAAGAAATGGATGTAAATCATAAAAATATATATCTAAAATTAAAATATTGATGGTAGTATGCTAAATTTCTTACCTTGAATAATACAAAGACAAATGGTATTGTGTAGATTAACAAATGAAGAAACAGAGACTTAACATATTATTTAGAGGAATAAGACAGAATTAGCCAAAGGGGCTTACTCTAAGACCTGGGAGAAAGACCTGGGAGTCAGGGCACAGGAAAGATGACATTTCCTTATTACCTGCCCTCTACAGTATTTGAATATTTATTTCCATGTACTTGTCATTACTTTTCTAAAAACAACTACAGACAGTCATACAAGCAACTCAAGCCTATATGAGAGATCTATTAAGCCCACGGTTTTCATTTTACAGGTGATAAAACCAAGTCCAGAGAAGTAAAATTACTTACTGAGGATCCCACATTTATAGCAGAGCTGAGAGATTAAAATTCAGGTCTTCTGAACTCAAGTCTCTTGCTCAAAAAGTGGATACACAGCCAGAGATCTTACAGGGCAAGGTGACAGGCTGTGTTCAATATCTCTGCCACCCGTGGTGTAGTCTTGTACATTTCTCCTTGTACATTTCAGTCAATCATCAAGCACTTCATCTCCTACTATGTGCCAAGCTGTCCTAAAAGCAGGTAGGTAACACCTTGTGAGACAAAGCTTTTCTGCCAGATAGTTTTTATCTAGATCCTACTCAGCATCGCTGAATTCTTTAGATATTTTAAGAGGTATCTAAAGAAACCTCTCAGATTCTTATCAGTTAACCATGAATTTATAATCAAGGATGAGTTACTTATATATTTTGGTCAAGGCTGAATTACATTTTACTGGGAATGAGGATTTATATAATGCATTTTCCTGGCTATCATCTGATATATTTTCCCTACTAAGGGACTACTGTTGTCTTTGAAATATTAATCCCAGTAATTTCCTCCTTTCACGGTAATATGCAGACAAGTGTTTTACAAGGCTACAGAGTTCAATTTCGCTGTGATTACTGAGTGAGTATTTAGTGACTTCCCAGCTTTGGTTACTTTTTCAGATTTACTTTAGTAGTTATTAAACACCTACTAAAACTAAAACCTGGTACTAGACATGAAAAATAGAGAAATTTCAGCTTTAGGGCACACCAGACAATTAAGCTTAAATAGCTAAGCAAGAAACACACAAACCATTGACTGGGGGTTGGTAAGTGGGATGGAGAGTCAGGGTGTAGAATCAGATGTCTGGGTGTAGGAAAGGGAGAGATGGCATTTAGGTTGGACATTACAGGAGAACAAAAAGGAAAGGAATTCATAGAGAGGATACTGCCTGTGTGTAAGAAAATACGTTCATAAGTCACTGGGAGAAGAAGACATTTTGAAGCTATCAAGAGCCAAGGCCACACACGCACACACACACAAATGACTAAGTTGTGGAAAGAATAAAAAGAGGAATTTGTTTTTACTCTGAAGAGGGAAGAGGGAAGAAGGAAGGGAATGGGCAAGAAAATGAGGGAAGAGAGGAAGAAATGAGAAAGGAAGGAAAAGGAGGAGGCAGGAAAGAAGCTAGGGCAATATGTAATTGTGGGGAGGTGACGGGCTTTTGAGAAGGAGGAGAACTATTATTAAGCAATCTAAAGATACTGTCTTCTTGTGAGGAAGAACTGAGTTTCTCATTTGAGTCTACAGCATGCTTTATAAAAACAATATACTGAGATGATTCGTAATGATTCATAATGTGAATTAATTTAGGAGAAGCAAAAAACAACTGTGACAGTGAGAAGATAAGCTTCTAGAAACTTGCAGCAATCTTAGAGTGAGCTTTAGGCAAAGCAGAAATGGGATTTCCAGATCATCTGACTTAGCCCTGCTGGAATGAAAGACTCCAGCTGCCGTCTAGATGTCACTCACAGTGACAGAGGAGAAAACTGGGGTCCAGCGTGCTAAGGAAGTTTTCCAAGGTCACATAACCAGTCGGTGGTGAGATTTAGGCTAGTGTGATTTACAAAGTCTTCTTGGGTGGGAGTACTCAGGGTTCTTCAAAGCACAGGTTCTAGAGTCAGACAGCATAGATTCAAATGCTGGCCCTGTCACTTACTAGCCATGTGACCTTGGACACATTATACCTTTCTGTCGTTCAGTTTCTTCCTCACCAAAATAAGAAAAAGTACATGATCACATATTGTCGTAAGAATAAATGAGTTAATACATCTCAATAACAAGTTCACAATCCCTTATTCACAATTCTGAAATCTAAAAACTCTGAAGACCAAAAGTTTTCTCATAAGTTTTAGTAAATTATTTGGTGGCAAAATCTGACCTGAACCTATCTGTCATCTTTACTCCATTTGATGAGTTGCAGCAATATTAATGTGCTTGATTGCAGGTGCTTCCTGA
Organism: Homo sapiens; assembly: GCF_000001405.40. Classification (NCBI taxonomy): domain Eukaryota; kingdom Metazoa; phylum Chordata; class Mammalia; order Primates; family Hominidae; genus Homo; species Homo sapiens. The sequence continues at coordinate 101,418,242 of NC_000009.12, read as the reverse complement.
GACCCTGCAGAGGGAGTTACACAATATATTTACTCTCTAAAATCTGACAAAATTCTGATTTCCAAAGCACATATGGCCTCAAGGCTTTCAGATAAAGAATTGTGAGAACTGCCCTTGGAACAGTATCTGCCACATTTCTAGAGTAAAAGATAAATTGCCCATGCTCAATGCAGCCTGGAGGGCTCATGCAATGCTACCAATCCCAAAGCCCATTTTGAAGAGAGGATGAATTAAGAGAGAGAAGTGATGCAAAGCTCAACACAGCCAGTCACAGCTCTTTTTCTACTGCTCATATAAACATGGTATTCTGGCTGGAAAGCAGTCTAAGCCTCTTGAAATAATCTAAAGCACTCAGTACTGGGCATCAATATGTATAACATACATAAAAATCAGCCAACAAATACTCTTGCAGCACCTACTGTATGCTCAGCACTGTAAAGATACTACATGGTCCTTCTATGCTTACCATGGAAATGAGGAAGACAAGCATGCAGTTAGAAAACAAAGAAAATGGTACAATAATGTGCTAAATTGCAGTGGCATAGGCTAGATGCTGAGATCAAAAGGGAAGGAATATTTTATGGAAGAGGGAGGATTAGCTGAAGGCAGTTTATTATTAGTTATGTGATCTTGGGAAACATAGCCTCTCTGAGCCTCAGTCTTCACATCTGTAAAAGAGGCTTGTTTTGAGGGCAATATTTTATATACAGTGCCAGATACATAAGTAGGGAATAAATATTAGTTTTCCCTGTCAGCTGGCTCTTGAAGAAAGGTAAAGGCTCATGAATGAGAATGAACATGAATTGTGTGTCCTTACTAGAGTACAAACTATGTGTTGAGAGAACTATGGGAAATCAACCTGGAATGGTGAGGCTGATTTCCCATAATGGAGTGGCACATGGATGGGCAGAGAACCTTAGAAAGTCTTGCCTTGAAGTGATGAGAAATAGGGAACTGTGGATGACATTTAAGGAAAGAATATAAGAGCAGTGCTGAAAATTACTTTCTAGAATGTAGAGGATCAAGAGGGAACCAGGAGCCAGCTAAGTGTCTATAACAGCAATCCAATGTAGCGCACCTGGCCTTTTGTCGGTCGGGTAGGTGAGTAGACATGACATCTTTAGACAAGAGAAAACAACAAACAATTCCTTGTATGTAGCATAGCCATTATCATCTTAATAAAGTCTGTTTCATTGCAACCTGATAGGCAAGTGCTTGGGACAAATGAAAGCTCAAAATTCTTTACCTAGTTCTCAAAAAGACTTACATACATGCCGGGCTGAGTAGTGTGGTAGATGAAAAATAGGGCATTTTCAATCTAATTAAACTAAAGAGCTTCTGCACAGCAACACAAACTACCATCAGAGTGAACAGGCAACCTACAGAATGGGAGAAAATTTTTGCTATCTACTCATCTGACAAAGGGCTAATATCCAGAATCTACAAAGAAACAAACTTACAAGAAAAAAACAAACAACCCCATCAACAAGTGGGCAAAGGATATGAACAGACACTTCTCAAAAGAAGACATTTATGCAGCCAAAAGACACATGAAAAAATGCTCATCATCACTGGCCATCAGAGAAATGCAAATCAAAACCACAATGAGATACCATCTCACACCAGTTAGAATGGCGATCATTAAAAAGTCAGGAAACAACAGGTGCTGGAGAGGATGTGGAGAAATAGGAACACTTTTACACTGTTGGTGGGACTGTAAACTAGTTCAACCATTGTGGAAGTCAGTGTGGTGATTCCTCAAGGATCTAGAACTAGAAATACCATTTGACCCAGCCATCCCATTACTGGGTATATACCCAAAGGATTATAAATCATGCTGCTATAAAGACACATGCACACGTTTATTGCGGCATTATTCACAATAGCAAAGACTTGGAACCAACCCAAATGTCCATCAATGATAGACTGGCTTAAGAAAATGTGGCATATATACACCATGGAATACTATGCAGCCATAAAAAAGGATGAGTTCATGTCCTTTGTAGGGACATGGGTGAAGCTGGAAACCATCATTCTCAGCAAACTTTCTCAAGGACAAAAAACCAAACAGCCCATGTTCCCCCTCATAGGTGAAAATTGAACAATGAGAACACATGGACACAGAAAGGGGAACATCACACACTGGGGCCTGTTCAGGGCCCTCAGGGGGAGGGGGGAGGGATAGCATTAGAAGATATACCTAATGTAAATGACGAGTTAATGGGTGCAGCACACCAACATGGCACATGTATACATATGTAACAAACCTGCACATTGTGCACATGTACCCTAGAACTTAAGGTATAATAATAATTTAAAGAAAAGAAAAATAGGGCATTTTCTAAACATAGCACTAATTCTTTGAGCAGTTCAGAACAGCCAGGGCTAGGCAGTAGCCCAGGGTCTCAAGTGTGAGAGAAATGTATTCTGCCCTCCTAAGATAATCAAGGTCAAGGCAACCTTCTGCAGCTATGTACAACTTTTCCTTCTCCTGCTCTGTTACTCTGTCCTGTTCAGAGTGCACTTCTGGGTTGCAGGGACACAATGACTGTCATGTAATGTGAGGATTTACCTCAGCCAGTGGACTAACATGAGAAACCTGTTCTTAGAGCATGGCTCCCAGATAGGCAACAACACAGGCAAGACACACACACCATGTTTTATTTGTGTGAATGAAATCACACAATCAAAATTCAGTGTTTTGGAAAGTTAGGTGATTTTCCCCCTGTCTCATGTAACACACGTGGCTTACTATGCATTCCTCAAGTCTTCAAGTCTCCTTGATGATAAAGGGCTGCTTGACGCAACTATCAAACTGACATAACACCTAGCAGGTATTTTTAAATTTTTTAAATACATGTTAATTGATCTTGTCCCACTTGTGCAGTAAAGCAAATGTGTCTCTCTTCTCTTTGTCTGTGTATTATGGTTATAGACGGACTTAATTTTAAAGAAACCAATCAACCCACCCCTACTACCCACCTGGGGCCACAAAACACTTTTGAATGAGGGAGAATAATGTCAAATATATCAAATACTGACTGGGAACAGCAACTTTAAAAAAAAGGATTGGAATACTTGGACTGGATTGTTTTCAAAAAAGGAGTTGAAATTTATTCTGCAAGCACTGTGCTCAACTAGGTGTGTTCTGTGTGCCCCTAGATTTGCTGATGACATCCTCCTTTAGGAAGACAGATGAATGTGAAATGCCTCACTCATCAAAATTACAGAGAAATAGAATATTTTTGCCTGTTTTTCTTTTTGCCACCAAAGACCCCTTTTACCTGCTCATTTTAAAATTTTATCTAATCAATAATTTGCTTCATCTACTTTAAGCTCAATTTTCTTTCAAAATTGTCTCATATGTTAATACCCAGAAGAAATATGAGTAATTTCATTAAGTTCATAGTTTTACTTCTTGCGATGCCATAGGAGTAAAAAATAAAAATAATTTTTAAAACAGTTTTACTTCAGCTGGGCTCTAAATAAAATCCCAACTATCCCCAGCTGCTCCTTCAAACCTTTATTATTGACAAGACACCTAACTCTACGCCTAACCATGTCCACCCATCTTCCTTCCCTGATCCTCAAAACATGGATTTGATTTTTTTTTTAATGGGTCATCTCAAGTGAATTTGATTTTCCCCTCACCCAACCAGACACCAAATCTGTCCTCTTTCATTTTCTCCCAAGTTGAAGAAGGTCCCTGAAGAAAATCTTTCCATAACTGTTAGTACGCATTTCAGCATATCTAATAACTTAATCAACTTTCATTCTGCTCTCCTCTATCTTCAACCTATCCCTCAACTGGCTATCCACTCAAATTTTTCTTTAATCTCCATCTACAGCCCTCTTTGTACTCACAGACGAGTAATCTACTTTTATTCTCTAACTTTATAGAACAGTAAAATTAAGCAAGTAAAAAGAATAACCAATAAAGGGTTGCCATTTTTTTTAAGTAAAGACATAAATGTAACAGACTATCCTCCCAAATCACTATTATTTCAAAAAAGGACTTAGTTTTTTTTTTTTTTTTTTTAGGAAAGAGCATACTTTCAGAACAAGGATCTCTAATAATCAATTTATCTTTTTTTTAACAAGGATATTATATTATCATTATTTTTGCTACTTGAATGTAGAATAATTTTTAAGAATTGACCGTATTTGGGAGCTGATGATCTACTCTCCGGACACCATTTAGCCCCCTGAAAACTGGCTCTTCCTAACTCCAGAAGCTGTTCTTACAGAAACCCATTAATGACTAATTATCAAATCCAAAAGACACTCTTCAACCCTTCCTCAGCCTCTCTGCAGCATGCTTCTGGATCACTTTCCGACAGAAGTTATCACTACATGTTGGGTTTCCCATACTTCTGGTTATTCCTGTCTCCTTTGCACCTTGCCTACCCACTAAACAAAGTAGGCCCTAGGATTCCATCTCTGGACTTCTTTTCTTGCTGTATTCTTTCCTTAAAGCTTAATCCATTCATGTCTAAACACTGGTGAATTCCTAAATCAATTTCTAGCCCAGTTCTTTTTCCTGAGCACCATATCCATATCTGCAATTGCCTCTGGACATCTTTACTATCTCACAGACAGACTAACACACATTCAAAATGTTAGTGATCTCCTCATTCCATACAAGGTACACTTTTTTTTTGTCCTGTCTCATTGAATAAGAGCACCAACAACCCAAACTGACTTTGAATCTTTACTCTTCCTTAGTTTTCTCATCCAATTAGCAACCAAATCTCACTGTTTATAAATATTTCTCAAATTCATCTTTCTCACATTCCCACTGCCTTAGTTGAAGCACCATAATCTCTCAACTGTACTACTTTAAAGACCTCTTGAAGTTTTTACACAGAAACAAGGCCCTGGCACAATATTTTCCATGCGCAATTTTCTGAGAATTAAGATCCACAAATCTAAGGAAGGTCAAGAACCATGGTCCTTGCACACTTAATAAGAATCAGGTGAAAATTTAAAAAACAAACAAAAAACACAAACAACCAAAAAACCTGGTCCCAAATCTTTCCCTCCCTATGGAACATAGGATTTTTGGGTTTAATATTTGGAAAGTTGCACAAGGGAAGTATTTCTAGTACTAGTAATGTTATTCTTAAGCTGAGTGCTGGTTACACAGGTGTTTAGTAGTGAAAACTAAGAGCCGAACACTTCAAATATGTACCCTTTTAATATACATAGCATACTTAAACACAAAATAGTACCCCAGAATTTTAGGCAGAATAGTCTCCCTAGCATGACAACTCTTGATCTGCCCTTACAGAAGGGCAGCCTTACCTCCTGTCACATTCCCAATTCACCAAGCAATCAGGAATTCAATTTGTAGCTACCAGTTATCTCACAATTCCCCCGCCTTCAGATACTATTTATCTTCCCTGGTACTCATCTTTTAGCTTCATCTTAAGCACCCTCCTCTTGATTTAACTTTTTTCTTCCCTTCTCTTCTAGATACTTCATTTCCCTCTCTAGAGCCTTCTGCATACTTTTATAATTTTCTTGGGAAACAGAAATGGACACTTAACTTTTTTATTTTTATTTTTATTTTTTTGAGATGGAGTTTTGCTGTTGTTGCCCAGGCTGGAGTGCAATGGTGCGATCTCTGCTCACCGCAATCTCCACCTCCCAGGTTCAAGTGATTCTCCTGCCTCAGCCTCCCAAGTAGCTGGGATTACAGATATGTGTCACCACGCCTGGCTAATTTTGTATTTTTAGTAGAGACGGGGTTTCTCCATGTTGGTCAGGCTGGTCTTGAACTCCTGACCTCAGGTGATCCACCTGCCTCGGCCTCCCAAAGTGCTGGGATTACAGGCGTGAGCCACCACGCCCAGCACTGCTTTTTTTTAAAAATGAATTTTTAGGTAAAAATGGCCATACTGCCTAAAGTAATTTATAAATTCAATGCTATTCCCATCAAGCTACCATTGACTTTTTTCACAGAACTAGAAAAAAACTACTTTAAATTTCCTATGGAACCAAAAAAGAACCCACCACATAGCCAAGACAATCCTAAGCAAAAAGAACAAAGCTGGAGGCATCACGCTACCTGACTTCAAACTATACTACAAGCCTACAGAAACCAAAACAGCATGGTACTGGTACCAAAACAGATATATAGACCAATGGAACAAAACAGAGGCCTCAGAAATAACAGCACACATCTACAACCATCTGATCTTTGACAAACCTGACAAAAACAAGCAATGGGGAAAGGATTCCCTATTTAATAAATGGTCCTGGGAAAACTGGCTAGCCATATGCAGAAAGCGGAAACTGGACCCCTTCCTTACACCTTATGCAAAAATTAGCTCAAGATGGAATAAAGATTTAAATGTAAAACCTAAAACCATAAAAACCCTAGAAGAAAACCTAGGCAATACCATTCAGAACATAGGCATGGGCAAAGACTTCATGACTAAAACACCAAAATTAACTAAAACACTAAAGCAACAAAAGCCAAAATTGATGAATGGGATCTAACTAAACTAAAGAGTTTCTGCACAGCAAAAGAAACTAGCATCAGAGTGAACAGGCAACCTACAGAATGGAAGAAAATTTCTGCGATGGCACTATGCAGAATGACACCATGGCACATGTATACCTATGTAACAAACCTGCACATTCTGCACATGTATCCCAGAACTTAAAGTATAATTTTAAAAAAATGATTTTTTAGGGTTCTATGTTTTTTATAAGCAATGATGTGTATATGCAGTCAAGAACTGTTCACTGTTACTGGAGTTCTGAGTTGTCCAAGGATTTTAAAATTAAGAAATTTCTATAAATTCCAGATTCATGTCCAAGGATATTAAAAATTATGTAGGACTACCTCATACAACCATAGCCTCAAACTACTATGAGGTCAACAGCAGCCAGTGCTTCTGCTATGGAATATAACCGTACATGAAACTGATGTGACTTCAACAAAAAGCAAAGAAATGTGTTTCAGTGTACATGCAGTGAAAACATACACAATAGATTTTTAAAATACTGAGAACAGGTCTAAGAACCTCATTAGTTGAGATCCTGATCTGGGAACCACTAGTGTAAAATAAGTACAACTGGGAAGGTCCAGGGCAGGAAAATTTTATATGAGTCAGGTGCAGTATGTTGTTTTTTGTACTTTTCCTTGGACTACAAATTGTTTTGAAATGTCAACTGTATAGTAACTATGAGTACCTAATTTGAATAAGGGAGTGCACAAAGATATGTATCTTTCTATACATGTACCATAATCTCCACACTCACATGCAGGTACACACATAAAGAGATGGGAAGATGAAAGTCTGGAGGTAATTTTTGGAATGACTGAGGTACAGGAGAAGGAGGGGTCATTTGCTCAAACTATTAGGAAGCTGGAATTACAGAATTCTGCTAATTTGGAATTCTATACTCAGAAACTGAAGAACCTGGGCTTAATTGAGCTACTCCAGAAAAGCTTAACTAGTCACACACAGAACAAATGACAGCTATTTCCTTCCTATTTTTGATTCTAATTTTAAAAACACAGTAATGCGTTTGACAGAATTGGTTTTACACTAAAGTAACAACTCTTACACAAAGCTAAAAACAAAACAGGTTTTAATGGTTAAAACAGATGAATTAATAGGTTTATAATAACCATTAACTAAGGGAAGCCCTAGAACAAGAAATAAGGATTTTTAATTGCATGCAAAACCTAGTTACCATAAAAACCAATGCAATACCAAAATATCTCAGCTTCCTAGCATAGACTCCAGGTCTTTTCATTTCCAATACTTGGCAGTCATAATATGTACACTTTCATATGCACCTGGTTGTGGAGGGATAAGCTCATTCACATAGGACTACAAATATCTCTCACAGGTAGGAGGGCACAAAAGAACAATATCTTCCTCCACTTTTTTGGGTCCATCTTGAAAAACAAAAAAGGCACTCCCAAAGGTTCCTTGGTAACACCTTTGTTAGGTTTCTTAATTACTAACATAATCTTTACATGTAAGGTTAATGGTCCACTCATTTCATAGATCTGGGAACCATCAGGCATTGGAACTGCCTTTAACTCACATGCCAAACAACTGGCTTTCTTAAACAATGACAAAAACTGTATACTTGTTTTAAAAACATTTGGGCTTTGTTTCCTTGACAACTTATATATGCTTAATCACTGGACTTTGGCATGCAGAGCCAAACATATCATGGAACTGAAAGAACCACAATATGACATGGTGACAGAAGACTCTTTGAATCATTATTCTGTTTTCCACTATCAGCTGCTCCAGCTCCCTTATACTAATCCAACTTTGTCCCTCAGAGCACCCATGCTCTGAACCTAGGTTTAATCTCTCTGCTGAAAGATTTATTAAAGATACTTAGATAAATTACCAAGTCTTTCTCTACGATCATCAAAGAGTAAGGGAAGTCAAATGCTCATGGGCAGTTGTCCACTATTCACAGAATCTTTAGAAACTATTTGCCTGAGGCCAAGGAGAATTTGCTTTATCACTAAATCTGACCCATGTTGAGCCATACTAAAACTGCACTTGGGTACTAGTCTCAAATCAAATTGAGCTTATGTATTGCTCTACATTTATTGCATCCATGCTGTGTGCAATTTCTGATGCTGAATAAGAGAAATACGGCAATTAAAGGCTTCACCACAAGCGTCACATTCATGGGTTTCTTGGGTTTTCACCTCTGCATGGATCTTCTGATGGTTGACAAGACTGCGCTGTTGACTGAAACTTTTGTCGCACTTCTCACACTTATAAGGTTTCTCTCCTGTGTGTATTCTCTGATGCTGAATAAGACCCGAGTTCCGGCTAAAGGCCTTTCCACATTCATCACATTTATGGGGTTTATTACCTGTGTGAACACCCTGATGTCGAATAAGATTACAAAGCTGACTAAAGCTTTTTCCACACTGTCTGCACAGATAGGGTCTCTCACCAGTGTGGATTCTCTGATGTTCAATAAGAAATGAGCTCCGGCTGAAGCTTTTCCCACAGACAGTACATAGATAGGGCTTTTCACCAGTGTGGATTCTTTGATGTTGTACAAGATGAGCACTAACACTAAAAGTTTTCCCACATTCATCACATTTATAAGATTTCTCCTTAGGGTAGACTTCCTGCTGTATAACAAGACTGCAATTTGGATCAAAACTTTCCTTAGTTTCATTGTATGGATAAGTCTTCTCCCTGGTGTGAATTCTCTGATGCTGAATAAGACCTGAGCTTCTACTAAAGGCTTTTCCACATTCCTCACATTTATGGGGCTTGTCTCCTGTGTGAATTCTCTGATGACGAGTAAGGTTGCAAAGCTGACTGAAACTTTTCCCACACTCTTTGCACTGATAAGGTCTTTCACCAGTATGGATCCTCTGATGTTCAATAAGGAATGAGCTCCGACTGAAACTTTTTCCACACTCAATACAAAGAAAAGGCTTCTCGCCAGTGTGAATTTTTTGGTGTTGTATAAGGTATGTGCTTAATCGAAAGGCTTTCCCACATTCACCACATTTATGGGGTCTTTCCCCAGTGTGAATTCTTTGATGCTCAACAAGCAATGAATTTCGACTAAAGCTCTTCTTACATTTGGTACAGTGATAAGGTTTCTCACCAGTGTGAGTTCTTTGATGCTCAATAAGGTGTGATTTCCAACTGAAGGCTTTCCCACAGTCACTACATTTATGGGGTTTCTCACCTGTATGAATCCTTTGATGTTTAACAAGGCTCCTTCTCTGGCTGAAGCTCTGTTTACACTGATTACACTGATAGGGTCTTTCTCCAGTGTGGATTCTCTGATGTCTAATAAGGGTTGAGCTCACACTAAAGGTTTTTCCACAGTAATTACACTCATAGGGCCTTTCCCCAGTGTGAATTCTCTGATGTTCAATAACAAATGAACTGCGACTAAAACTTTTCCCACATTCATTGCACTGAAAAGGTTTCTCACCAGTATGGACCCTTTGATGTTGAATGAAATGGGCCTTGCGGACAAAACCCTTTCCACATTCTTCACATTTATGGCATTTCTCTTCTGAGTTTGGTCTTTTACGGATAATGTTAGTGTTTTCTCTGAACATTCTCTGTTCCTGGGTCAAAGATTCCCTTGGTATTTCCCATAGGAAGATCCCTCTTTGTTTATCTAACCTACCAACAAGTTCAAATGTTTCTCTACCCATAGGATCCTGGTCAATTTCACTTTTGATTCTTGTAACTATTACACCCTGTGGTTCCACTTCTTCCTCAATTTCTTCAATCTCTTGTTTTACAGTTGGCTCCTCATCCTTATCTCTGTTCAAAACATCTGGAATAATAAAAAGGAAATACAAAGATCAACCAAGGTCTTTGAAGCAAGGAGAAACAAAGTAAGATGGGCAAACAAAGAAACAAATAAAGTCAAGGTGGGATTAATCAGTCTATCAAGGAAAACAGGGTAGGATGAAAAAAAACTCCACTAAGTTCAAGAAAATTAAGGATGAGAAAGCATTATTGGAATATGATCAGACCAAATAATTAACAGAAGGGACCAGATGCTAATGGCCAGGCATAGTGGCTCATGCCTGTAATCCCAGCATTTTGGGAGAGTGAGGTGGGAGGATCACTTGAGCTCAGGAGTTTGAGACCAGCCTGGGCAACAGTGAGACTTCATCTCTACAAAAAAAAAATTTTTTTTTAATTAGCCAGACATGGTGGTACACACCTGTAGTCCCAGCTACTCAGGTAGCTGAGGTGGGAGGATTGATCACTTAAGCCCAACAGGTTGAGGCTGCAGCAAGCTGTGTTTGCGTCGCTGCACACCAGCCTAGGCAATAGAGTGAGACCTAATCTCAAAAAAATAAAAATAAAAATAAAAAAAGATGCTAAGAAGGATAAAAGACAAAGATCCAGGGGAAACAATAATTCATTCATTAACAAGCATTTACTCACTGCCCATCAAAAGCACTCCAGAAACATTGTAATCAGCCAGGATTCAGAGATAAGACATGAAGCCCCCCTGCCAAATGGAATGGATGTTAAGTAAAAAATGGGGAAAGAAAATAATATGATAAAGAAAATATTAAGTAAAAAGCAGCTCCTGTATAAAGAGACAAAATGGCTTTTAAAAACAATAATAAAGGGTTAGGTGACAGAGAGTCTATGATATCGAGATGCAGAATAAAATAAGTATTAAGAAACATGGTCAGAGTTCATGGGAGCAACAACCAAAAAGGGCAGTCTGTGGTAGCTTATGACTTTACCTACCACAAATCATACCTCAAGTACATGTGATTCTAAACCCTCTAACAATATAAGACCCAAGGTTCACCATCTTGTTCCAACTGAGAGGCTGCATGACATCTGAGAAATGAAAATCTTGCATGTGTTGAAGAAAAGACAGCACAGTGGTCTATGATATAACAGAGTGTCATATAGTACATCTAGGCCCGCTTCGGACATCTTCCTGATTTTCCATCTCTTGCTGGAATAGATATTAGATAATTCCGCTAGAAGATTCAATAATGACCACATTTATATTTGGCCCTAAACAAGCTCCTTTTTCATACATCCTCTTTTCTCTCAATTTTTTGTGGAGTCATCTTTGAATTTTCTATTTGCTTACTTCATTATTTTATTCTAAAATAACCTTTTCCTATTCCCCTAAGAAACTACTAGAAATTTTATTTCTTCTAAGGCTTTTTAGTGTCCCCTCTCAAATTTTTCAGTGGGCTGTATTTTCTTTCACATAATGAAAAAACATGAAAGAACTCCCTCAACTTTCTGTCCTCTACCTATAAAATTATCTGCCAATGGTACATAAAGATATATCTGATTCTTATGCAAGGCTAATCCATCCATCACTTACCGATCCTACTCACCTCTGGGCATTTGCTTAATTATCCCGTCTTTCCTCTTTCTTCAATACACACTCTCTATTGACACTTTCCTACCATTACATAAATATGTCCAATTTTATCTTGAACCTGAAATCCTTCTCTTTATGAAAGCCAAGCATTGAAAAAAAATCTTAACACCGAGGTTTTCTATTTCTTATGTTTTCCAAGCCCAACCTCTTCCTATTCAATCTATTCTGCAACCTGTGGCGAAATCTGGTTTCTGTTTCCAGCATCTAGAGAAACTTCTCATTAGATTACCAATGACTCAAATAAAAATAAAACGGGCATTTTTTTTTTTTTTTTGAGACAGAGTTTCACTCTTATTGCCCAGGCTGGAGTGATCTTGGCTCACTACAACCTCCACCTCGCGGGTTCAAGCAATTCTCCTGCCTCAGCCTCCCAAGTAGCTGGGATTACAGGCACCCGCCACTGTGCCTAGCTAATTTTTTTGCATTTTTAGTAGAGATGGGGCACCATGTTGGTCTCGAACTCTGACCTCAGGTGATCCACCCACCTCAGCTTCCCAAAGTGCTGGGATTACAGAAGTGAGCCACCGTGCCTGGCCTAAAATGGGCATGTTTCAGTCCTTATGTTATTCAGCAGCATCTAACACTGTTGACCACCCCTATTTCTTGACATTATCTGTTTTTGGTTTCTACACTACCACATTCTTTTATTTCCTTCCCTACTTCTTTGGCCTTTTCTGATAAATTTCCCTCATTTATTTCTTTTCCTTTGTCAACTGACTTTTGTTATTGTTACCCACATTTACATCCTTACTTGTTCTGTATATACACCCTCCAGATATCTCCAGTTAAATGCCTCACAAAGGGCTCACAATTAACATGGTCATCATCATCTGCTTTCATGCCTTTCCCCACCTTTAATTATCTCTTGAAAGGCACCATCATCCATTACCCTATAGTCTCAAAGCAGCAATCATCCTGTATTTCTCCCTTCTTCTCACGTTAATCAATCATCCAAATCCTGGATTTCTCTCTAGCACCTATCTTTCATCCCTCACAATCATGTAGCTGCCTTATAATCTTTGGCTCCAGTCTTTAGGCTGCCAACACATTATATATGCCTTACTGATTCTAGAAGAGATCTCTATAAAACAGAATTCTACTCAAGTCATCACCTGTAGATTTAGCAGCTCCCCATCACCTTTAAGATCGAATCAAGCTCTTTGCTATGATACAACTCTTCATGACACAGTCTCTAAGCCTCAAGTCATGTTCCTACCTACTTTATCATACTTTATGTAGGCAAATTGTTTGTGTTACAGTCTTTCATGTCTTATCTTCACATATCTCATTTACTAAATGTCCCTCAACACTGTTTACCTGGCAAACTTTTGGTTTTAAGATTCAAAGCAATCTTTAAGTTTAAAGCAACAGTTCCTCTACAAAGCCTTTACTAAGTCCACTAGACAGATTCAGGTGTTCTATTTTTTTATTACCAGCCCTCGACCATAATTCTATTATTGCTATGATTACACTGCATTTTTTAACTGTTCGTTATTTGTCTCTTCCACTAGATTGTAAATTCTTTGTGAGAAGGCAGTCTCTTCAGAATATTTGTTCAGTTATGTTAGTTGGATTAGTGGATACTGTTCTGTCAATTTCATTCAAATGAATAAGACAAAATGATCATTACTTGAAGATGATATGAATATATACCTAAAATTCCTGGAAGAAGCAAATGAAAATATAATCATAACAAGATTAAAAAGCTTGTTCTTAGTACAAAAAAAGTTAGTAAATATTATACAGAAATGATATAAATGCTTCACAATAGTAACAAAAAACATAAAACCTAGGAATAAACATAAGAAATGTGTAAGATCCATAAAAATATTCCATACAATTTTTCTGAAAGACAAAAGGATACAGTTAAACAGAGTCAACCAAATGGCTAAAGAGATTCAATATTATAAGGATCTCAATTCCTTTCAATCTATGAAACTAATCATTCCAATCAAAAATCACATGAACCAATAAAAAAGTAAATAAATCTAAAGTTTAGAAGAAGGCAGACTAGTGAAGTACATCCTGAAAAAGATTATTAAAGAATGACTTATATTACCAGACACAAAATGTAATATATTGTTAAAGCGAATAAAACAATGACATTCACATAAAAATAAATAGGTCAACAGGATAGGCAGGTGAAAAAAACAAGAGTAAGGCTTCCACACAGAGCAGCCTTGAAGTGACTATCCATTAGATCTGGGCTTGGCAATGCTTATGCAATATCTTCCCATCCTGTGGTCATGGCCAATTTTTCTACACAGATAGTTGTCTCAAAGTGGGTTTCGCCAAAGAACCTGGAATTAAAACTGAAATCGCTAGTTATTCGGAAGGTAGCTAGAATTGTAACCTATCAAACCAGAAGCCAAAAGGACAGAAGAATGTGAACATAAGGAGAAAAGACTAAACCGTCAAGGAGAAAAAAGAGATAAGACAGTGTTATAGACTGAATGTTTGTGTTCCCACCAAATATTCATATGGTGAAGCCCTAATCCACAATGTGATGATATTTGGAGGCGGGGCCTTTGGGAAGTAATTAAATTTAGATGAGGTCATGAAGGTTGGGCCCCCATGATGGGATTAGTGTTCTTATAAAAAGAGGAACAAAGACCAGAACGTTTGCTCTATCTCTCTCCCCTTCTGCCATGTGAAGACACAGTAATAAGGTGGCAATCTGCAAGTCATTGCGGAAAGAGTCATTAAAATTGAAGATGTCAAAGATCTGAGAAATTAAGCTATCAACTGTATCATCGATGTAGCTATTAAAGTTTTTTTAAAAATAAGCTTGAAAAGGAAAAGTATGAATGAAAAGCCAAAACTATAAAGCTAGACAAGAGTTGCATTATGAAAAGCAGTTAAGATGATGTAGAAGAGAATACTGCATTGCAACAGTAGAGTAATAGTGATCTCTCATCAAGGGAGCTCTCACCAAAGGGATGGAGATAGTGTTTATTGAGGAGGATGAAAAGACTGTGGGAGGAGAAATGATGAATATGGAAAGCTGTATTTAAGCTGAAATAAAGAAGACAGCCTACAAGTAGAAGATCATCTGTGGGCACACTGTCACACCTTGTCCATATGGTATTTACATGCTGCAGTTCTAGGAGAAGGCAGGGCCAGGCACTTACTTGGTTCTATCAACCAGAATACCATATGTATGGATAAGCTGGCAGTGACTGAGAGACAACATGGTATATTAAAACACACACACACACACACACACACACATATCAGCAGCTGATATGGCTGAAGACTAAAGTGGTGTGCAGGAAAAAACAGGTGAGGCAAGAAAGATAGGCAGAGGCTATACTTGGAAGGTCCTATATGATAAGAAATTAAGATTTTTATCATTTAAGCTATCAGGAACCATCAGAAGTTTTACACAGTTAACTAATACAAAATCACTTTGGTGGCAGTAGAGAGAATATATTTTAAAAAAGGAGACTAGTGGCAAGGGGGTAGTTTAGGGGTTAATGTAATAATCCAGTTAAGAGATACTGAGTCTTAAGTTAACTGTACTTACTCAGTCATATAAATATTTAAGAAGCATATAATATAGGCCTGGCTCTGTGCTAAGTGCTGGAGAAATCAAATGCAACAGGTATATCTACCATCCTCACAGTAATCAGTGAGGTTAGAAAAGTAACATATATAGAATGATTGTAGTATAGTATGATAAATTCAATAGCAGGAGTATATACAAGGTAAAACAAAGAAAGGAGTGCTTAGCTCTGGTAAAACAAAGAAAGAGAAGGCCCTTGATTTTAATGGATTGAAACTTGCCAGGTTTGAATTACTCATGTGGTCTTCAAAAGATGACTAGGAATTGGAAACTCAACAGAGAAGATGATGACAACAATATAAGTCAACATTTATATTGTTCTTAACTACATGTTAGTGTGTCAAGTGTTTTACATACATTAATTCAGTCAATGCTCACAATAACCCTATGAGGT